>NC_000009.12:34100909-34252424 GCF_000001405.40 Homo sapiens
ATTAAAGGCATGAGCCACCATACCCAGACTAGGCCTCTTTTTCTAGAAAATTACACAAAACACCACATTTTACATTCAATTTCAGGGAGACCCATGGATTTCCTGAAATCCATGGGCTTTCCATGAACCCACAGGGACCACAAACCCTCCCCAACTTTTTTTTTTTTTTTTTTTTTAAATGAGACAGGTTCTGGCTCTGTCACCCAAGCTGGAGTGCAATAACATGATTATGGCTCATTGTAGCCTCAACCTCCTGGGCTTCAGCAATTCTCCTGCCCCAGCCTCCCAAGTAGCTGGGTCTACAGGCATGTATCCTCATGCCCAGGTAATTTTTTATTTTCATTTTTTTGTAGAAATGGGGTCTCACTATGTTACCCAGGCTGGTCTTGGACTCCTGACCTCAAACTCCTGCTTCAGTCTCTCGAAATACTGGGACTACAAGTGTAAGCCACTGTGCCCGGCCATAATTCCTTTATTATTTATTTATTTATTTTGGTGGTGGGACAGAGTTTCACTCTTATTGCCCAGGCTAGAATGCAATGGCACGATCTTGGCTCACCGCAACCTCTGCTTACTGGGTTCAAGTGATTCTCCTACCTCAGCCTTCCGAGTAGCTGGGATTACAGGCATGTGCCACCATGCCCGGCTAATTTTGTATTTTTAGTAGAGACGGGGTTTCTCTATGTTGTTCAGGCTGGTCTTGAACTCCTGACCTCAGGTGATCCACCCTCCTCAGCCTCCCAAAGTGCAAGGATTACAGGCATGAGCCACTGTGCCCGGCCCACAATCCTTCTATTAAGAATGACTGTTCTAGACCGTTCTTTATTAAGAATTACTGCTCACACCTGTAATCCCAGCAACTTGGGAGGCTGAGGTAGGTGGACCGCCTGAGCTCAAGAGTTTGAGACCAGCCTGAGCAACATGGCGAAACCCCATCTCTACCAAAAATACAAAAAATTAGCCAGGCGTGGTGGGGCACGCCTGTGGTCCCAGCTACTCAGGAGGCTGAGCTGGGAGGATAGCTTGAGCCTGGGAAGTAGAAGTTGCAGTGAGCTGAAATTGTGCCACAGACTCCAACCTGGGTGACAGAGTGAGACCCTGTCGCAAAAAAAAAAAAAAGATAATAATGACGACTATTCTAGGCTGGGTACAGTGGTATATGCCTTTAATCCCAGCACTCTGGGAGACCGGGTAACATGGCAAAACCCTGTCTCTACAAAAAATACAAAATTAGCCAGGCATGGTGGCGCAAACCTGTGGTACCAGCTACCCGGGAGGCTGAGGTGGGAGGGTCACTGGAGCCTGGAGAGGTCAAGGGTGCAGTGAGCTGGGATCACACCAACAGTCTGGGCAACAGAGTAAGACCCTGCCTCCAAAAAAAAAAAGAATAATGACTGTTTTATATAAAATGAATGCTTAAAAAGATAAATCAGTTTTCTTAGCAAACAATAATAAAGCACTTAAAAACCCAGGCCGGGCACGGTGGCTCACGCCTGTAACCCCAGAACTTTGGGAGGCTGAGGCAGGCAGATAACGAGGTCAGGAGTTTGAGACCGACCTGACCAACATGGTGAAACCCTGTCTCTACTAAAAATACAAAAATTAGTAGGGCGTGTGCCTGTAATCCCAGATACTTAGGAGGCTGAGGCAGGAGAATTGCTTGAACCCAGGAGACGGAGGTTGCAGTGAGCCGAGATCACACCACTGCACTCCAGCCTGGATGACAGAGACTCCATCTCAAAACAAACACACAAACAAACAACAACAAAAAACAAGAACACTTTTCTGTGAATTGAGCCCTGAATATACTGTTGGTGGCAAGCTAAAATGGTATCTTTCTAGAGGACAACTGAGCAACCTGCAGCAAGGAAATGTTATATTCCTGGCTGGGCGCAGTGGCTCACGACTGTAATCGCAACACTTTGGGAGGCTTAGGCAGGCAGGTCGCTTGAGGCCAGGACGTTGAGACCAGCCTGGGCAAAATGTTGAAACACCATCAGTACAAAAAAATACAAAAAACTAGCCAGGCATGGTGGCACATGCCTGTAGTCCCAGCTACTCAGGGACAGGGGTGGGGTGCTGAGACAGGAGGATTGTTTGAGACTGGGAGGTCAAGGCTGCAGTGAGCCATGATCACATCACGCCACTGCATTCCATCCTGGGTGACAGGGCGAGACCTTAACTCCAAAAAAAAAAAAAAAAAAAAAAAAGAGAAACAACAGCTGGGCGCAGTGGCTCATGCCTGTAATCCCGGCACTTTAGGAGGCCGAGGCAGGTGGATCACGAGGTCAGGAGTTCAAGACCAACCTGGCCAACATGTTGTAAGCCATCTCTACTAAAAAGACAAACCAGCCCGGCGTGGTGGCACGCGCCTGTAGTCCCAGCTACTCAGAAGGCTGAGGCAGGAGAATCGCTTGAACCTGGGAGGCGGAGGTTGCAGTGAGCTAAGACATGGCCACTGCACTCCAGCTGGGCGACAGAGGAGGACTCCATCTCAAAAAAAAAAAAGAAACAAAAATAAAAAGTAAGTTTATATTCCCATTCAGAAACAATCCACTATCACAATACCCATACACAAAGTTGTTTATTCGGAACACTCAGTATGTTCAACAATAGGGTTATATTATATCCATAAAACAGAGTATCAAGAAATTATGTTTTAGGCCGGGCATAGTGGCTCATGCCTGTAATCCCAGCACTTCGAGAGGCTCAAGTGGGAGGATCGCTTGAGCCTAGGAGTTTGACAGCAGCCTGGGCAACAAAGCGAGACCCAGTCTCTATAAAAAATAGAAATAATTAACCGGGTGTGGTGGTGTGTGCCTGTAGTCCCAGCTACTTGAGGGGATCTCTTAATCCTGGGAGTTCGAGGTTGCAGTGAGCAATAATCACACGCTGCACTCCAGCCTACATAACAGAGTGAGACCCTGTCTCAACAACAACAACAGTAACAACAACAACGAAAATGTGTTTTAAAATTCTTTTTCCAGTAAACTTATTTGCCAGTTCTCCTTTGAGACCAAGAAGGTGCCCTTCCCACACTGCTAATCTCCTGAACACTTCATAGAAAAAAACATCTAGGCCAGGCGCAGTGGCTCACGCCTGAAATTCCAGCACTTTGGGAGGCCGATGCAGGCAGATCACTTGAAGTCAGGAGTTTGAGACCAGCCTGGCCAACATGGTGAAACCCTGTCTCTACCAAAAATACAAAAATTAGGCACAGTGGCACGCACCTGTAGTCCCAGCTACTTGGGAGGCCGAGGCAAGAGAAGTGTTTGAACCTGGGAGGCTGAGGTTGCAGTGAGCCAAGATGCACTCCAGCCTGGGCGACAGAGCGAGACTCTGTCTCAAAAATTAAAAAAAAAGAAAAAAACATCTAAAATGACAGACACATCAATTCAAAGTAGAATGTTAATTATGTGAAATTAGAAAAGGCCACAGAGACAAGGGCACATCTGGAGAACTAGACATGGTTTGTTAATGCTGGATTATGGGGTGCAAGCATGGAAGCTATGAGAGAGAAAGTTGGAAAGATAGGTGTGGGCCTTGTATGCTGTGCTATAAAATTTGTTTCTCATCTTACAGATACTAGAAAGTCTCTCAAAGATTTGAGCATCAGAGTGAGAAAATTAGATAACTGTGTTTCAGAAGATTACTTTGTGTACAGTGTGACCTCATTTACCCCATCAAAGTTTTATTATGAAAATTTTAAAGTGTAAAAAAATGAGGCCAGGTGCAGTGGCTCATGCCTGTAATCCCAGCATTTTAGGAGGCCGAGGCAGGTGGATCAACTGAGGTCCTGCATTCAAGACCAGCCTGGCCAACATGGCAAAACCCCATCTCTACTAAAAAATACAAAAATTAGCCAGGCGTGGTGGTGGGCACCTGTAATCCCAGCTACTCAGGAGGCTGAGGCAGGGAGAAGTGCTTGAACCCAGGAGGCGGAGGTTGCAGTGAGCCAAGATTGCACCATTGCACTTTAGCCTGGGCAACACAGCAAGACTCCGTCTCCAAAAAAAAAAAAGAAAGAATTTCACAAAGAATTCTATATATGCATCTTCTAAATGATCTCATATTAACCAACTAAAAAATATGGGCCAATTTTGGGAGGCCGAGGCAGGCGAATCACTGAGGTCAGGAGTTTGAGACCAGCCTGGCCAATATGGTGAAACCCCATCTCTACCAAAAATAGAAAAATTAGCCTGGCGTGGTGGTGGGCACCTGTAATCCCAGCTACTCAGGAGGCTGAAGCAGGGGAATCGCTCGAACCTGGGAAGCGGAGGTTGTGGTGAGCCGAGGTCGTGCTACTGCACTCCAGCCTGGAAGACAGAGTGAGACTCTGTCTCAAAAAAAAAAAAAAATCATACTAAGGCTGGGTGCAGTGGCTCATGCCTGTATAATCTAAACACTTTGGGAGGCTGAGGCAGGAGGATAGCTTGAGCCCAGGAGTTCAAGGCTGCAGTGAGCCATGATGGTGCCACTGCACTCCAGCCTGGGTGACAGAGCAAGACCCTGTGTCTAAAGGAAAAGAAAAAAGGTACTAAAAAAAGACTAGCAAGTTATATTTTAAAATGTCAACAGTCGTTATTACTAGCTGGGTGTGAAGGTGTGTGCCTATAGTCCCAGCTACCTGGGAGCCTGAGGCAGAAGGATCACTTGAGCCCAAGAGCTCAAGGATGCAGTGAGCTAGGATCATGCCACTGCACTCAAGCCTGGGTGACAAAATGAGACACTGTCTCAAAAAGAAAACGAAACAACCCACAAAAAAAAGTGGTTATCTCTGGATAGAGATCTTGTGGGTGGTCCTTACTTCCTTTTTTATCTATCTATCTTATCTATCTATCCATCCTTTTTTTTTTTTTGAGATGGAGTCTCACACTTGCTCAGGCTGGAGTGCAGTGGCGCGATCTCAGCTCACTGCAACCTCTGCCTGCCGGGTTCAAGCAATTCTCCTGCCTCAGTCTCCTGAGCAGCTGGGACTACAAGCGCCCACGACCACACTCAGCTAATTTTTTGTACTTTTAGTAGAGACAGGGTTTCACCATGCTGGCCAGCCTGGTCTCGAACTCCTGACCTCATAATCCACCCACCTCGGCCTCCCAAAGTGCTGGGATTACAGGTGTGAGCCACCACACCCGGCCTATATTTTAAAATTTTCTTACAATAAATGTGTATCACTTTTACACTAAATAAGAAATTATTATTCTACAGGGTCACCCTCTGTCATGTAGGCTGGAGTGCAGTGGCACGATCACAGCTTGATGCAGCCTGGTTCTCCTGGGCTCAAGCAATCCTCCTGCCTCAACCTTCTGAGTATCTGGGACAACAAGTATGCAGTACCACACTCAACTAATTTAAATTCTTGGGCTCAAGTGATCCACCCACCTCAGCCTCCCAAAGTGCTGGGATTATAGGCGTGAGTCACTGAGCCCGGCTGGGCTGTTTCCTATCACACTACTATCCCTTTTCAATCTCTAGCCCCCAATCCCTGCCACATCAAAAGCTCCCTATAAAAGGGCAACTTTACCAGACACTGCCATAGTGTCGCTGATCCATGCGATGGAAAAGATCCAGTCCTTGTGTCCATCCTTGGAGAGCAGGGAGTAACAGGTACAGGGAGGAAAATAAGAAATTAGTAAAATAAGGATTGTAATAAACTCTCTAAAGAAGCATACAAGTCAGACTGAAAATATTTTTGTAGAAATTACAACTCTGATCTCTGGTGGTCTCAACCCACAGAGAATGATCAATCTTTACCTTCTATCTTGAGGAGCTCAAAGCTGGAATGAAATTGGCACTACTGTGGGTAGTGGACACATAGCTCTTGCCTTCTACCTCTGGGTCCCATCTTCCATCTGGAACTCTCTTCCTCCAGACATCTAGACATCTACATGGCTTGTACCCTCATTTCCTTTAAGTCTCCCTGCTCAAGCGTCATCCTATCAATGAAACTTTATCTTCTGATACAGCATCCTCCACCTTACTCTCAGTCCCTTTATGCTGCCTTTATTCTTCTCCATGGCACTTATCACACTCTGATGTATTACTGGTAAATATTAGTTTATATGGTTTATGTTTTGTCTATATGTCACCCTCCACTAGAATGTAGGCTTCAAGAGGACAGGGGCTTTATCTGTTCTGTTCACTGCTATGTCTCAAACAACGCCTAGCCATAGAAGACTCAATAAATGCCTGATGAATGAATGGATGATTTAGTAAACTGCTACTCTCTGACTATGGGCAGTGGGAAGTATGTGGACACTATGGATTCAAACAGCAACCCAATACTGTTGGCCCCTGAGGTGTGCTGCTTGCCCCTTTATCAAATATACACTGTGCCCTATGGGGAGTCCAGTCCCCACTCTGGGCTGATGAGAGGAGGGTCCATGTTAATCACTGAGACCCGTTTAAAAACAAGGCTCCCTCCAACTACAACTACTGGGAAAACTTACATCTCCTACACACACAGGATCCAGCGTAGGTAGTCGATAGATGGCAAGACTGTTGGGGTTGTCTCCTCCAGTGGCTAGCAGTGTTCTAGAAGGATTCAGCTCGATGGCATGGATACCACAGCCCTGCTGGGTCACACCTCCAGGCTCCCGGTCTTTCAGAATGGGGATCTTGGTGATCTGGCTTGTCTGGACATCTACGACAAATAGCTACAAGAAAAAATGGATACAGAAGCTGAACATAAATTTAACGTGGCCAATACAGGGTATAAACATCCTTTTGTTCAACTGTTCATCAACATTTAATTAACAACTACTACATGTTAGACCCTAGGAATTATTAAAGGCATGGTCAGGACTACTAATGACATGAAACATGAAATAAGTCAATATAACACAATATTAGAGATAGCAATAATATGCTACATGAACACAGATTAGGAAGCAGTAAGTTCTGCCTGGGATTCAGAGAAGGTTTCCAAGAGGCCTTCTATTAGGCCACGGACACAAAGAGGAAGACCAACACAGTTTTCTGTCAGTTTGGTCATATTTTATACACTGAATCCTCACCTAACCACACCATGCACAGAAACTTTTAAACGAAACACAATTCCCAGAACACATCATGGCTACTAATATAACTATTAATATTACTAAGTTTTCTGGAATGACCAGAGACATACGACAAGGAAGAATTATTAGTATCTCATGGCTGTTCTCTATACACACACATCCCATTCAGTCCTATTCCTCCCTGCCTTTGCTCTTGCTGCTACCTCTGCCTGAAAGGCTCTCTTCCACCTCTTTACCCTCCAAGATTCAACTTAGAGAAATGCTTTATGGAAAAATCAGTCTTAGCGAAAGGACAGCCCTTAGAAGAGTCAAACTCTTCAGTGATTCAACAGTTCATTCCTTCGGACACTCACTTATTTTCCAGTACTGTTCTAAGTGTTATGAACACAGCTATGAACGAGAGAAATAATATCTGCCCTAATAGATACACCTTATAGCCTAAGAGGCTGAAATAAAATCCTGTCAGCAATTCTCATGTTGAAGTCAAACATGTCAAACCTTTACATAAATAAACCTGCTGCTTACACAGAAGATATATGAAAGGAGAAACTAGGTGAGTCTTAAGTTTAAAATATAAAAAGGGCCGAGCGCAGTGGCTCACGCCTGTAATGCCAGCACTTTAGGAGGCCAAGGCGGGCGGATCACCAGAGCTTGAGAGTTCGAGATCAGCCTGGCTAACATGGTGAAAACCCTACTAAACTTACAAAATTAGCTGGGCATGGTGGCACACGCCTGTAATCTCAGCTACTCGGGAGGCTGAGGCAGAAGAATCGCTTGAACCGAGGAGGCGGAGGTTGCAGTGAGCCGGGATCGAGCCACTGCACTCCAGCCTGGGCAACAGTGTGAGACTGTGAGACTTGGTCTCAAAAAAAATAAATAAATAAATATATATATATATATATGAATGAGGTGGACAAGGTGGCAAGTGCCTGTAGTCCCAACTACTTAGCTACTCAGGAGGCTGAGGCATAAGGATCACAAATTGAGTCCAGCCTGGGCAAAACAGCAAGACCCTATCTCAAACAAATACATATATGTATTTTATGTATATGTTTTTATATATATATATATATATGGTTTTTTTTTTTTTCACTAGGAAAATGGTTTCATTGGAGTGTCTTTAGAGCTGTGATGTCAAGACATGAAGAACAAGTGCACACACAGACATGGCTATCACAGAACAGACTATGGGTGAATAAAAAGTTCACATCACTTCTTCCCTTTACCCAAAAACAGAAGGCTCTAGGCCACCTCCTCATAGGCCCACTCCTCAAACTCTCTCTCCTCCTTGGCTGTGGTATCCTGTACTCGGACATGTTCATGCTGCTCACAGCCTCAGTGAACTCCATCTCATCCATGCCACTTCCCATGTACTAGTGCTGGAAGGCTTTGTGCCAGAAAATGGCTGTGAACTGTACGAGATGCACCTGAACAGCTCCTAGATGGCTGTGTTGTTGCCAATGACGGTGGCAGCCATCTTTAGCCCCCAGGGTGGGATGTTACAGACAGCTGTTTTCACCTTGTGGGGGATTCAATGAACAAAGTAGCTGCTGTCCTTGTTTTGGAGATTAAGCATTTACTTATCCACCTCCTCCGTGCACGTACGGCCCCTGAACATGGCAGCTGCTAAGCAACAGCCACAGAGGGGGGTCCCACGCAGCCATCATATTCTTGGCATCAAACATCCGCTGGATGGGCTTGGGCACCATCGGGGCTCAGTACTGCTGGTTGTCCTGTATGGTCTGGATGAGTCCAGACATGAAGAAGTGCAAGCGGGGGAATAGGACCCTGTTCATGGCCATTGAGCTGGCCCTGGAAGCTCAGGCAGGTGGTGACCCCACTCACAGTGCAGACACCAGGTGGCTCAGGACACCATAGGTGGGTGTGGGCAGCTTTAGGGGTCGGAAGCAGATGTCTTAGAGAGCTTCCTTATCAATGCAAAAGGTCTCGTCTGTGTTTTCTGTGAGCTGGTGGACGGAGAGGGTGACATTGTAGGGCTCTACCACCATGTCCAACACCTTGGGTGGGGGCATTACACTGGATACATATATAAATATTTAAATTATATATAATTATATATGTATATATAATATGTACTTTATATATTTAAATATATATAATATATGTTTATTAAAGACAGAGAGAGAGAAAGGAGTAGCTAGAAGAGTGTCAGAGACTGAGTGGGAGCAGGGGGAAGAAGGGGACAAACCACTCTCAAACTGGCAACTACCTGAGAGCAGCAGACTCCCTGCCTAACTGGCATCATTGCTGATGCATCCCACAAGCATCTGAAACTGAATATGCCCAAAACAAATAACCTTGCTCCTCAAATTGCTCACTTTCCTAACACCACCACTATCTACCCTGTCACTCAAGTGTGGATTTTATCCTAAATTACTCCTTTTCCCTCATTTCCATCATCCTAGTCCTGCCTAACCTACCTCCTAAATATTCTTACAGCTGACTCCTTCCTCTGCTTCCTCACTCATCACTTCTCCTTGGACAACCACAATTAGTCTTTGTGCCTTCAGGCAACACCGCTATCAAAATTATTCTATTATAAGCAGAGTCAACTTCCTAAAAATGGAAATCTTCCCATGCCAGTCCCCAACTAAAAAACATCCAATGACTCCCCGTCACCTAAATCTGAGATACTTAGCATGGCATTAAGACTCTCCTCGGGGCCAGACTTTGGAAGGCCGAGAAAGAAGTATTACTTCAGCCCAGGAATTTATGAACAGCTCAGGCAGCACAGTGAGACCCTGTCTCTACTTGAGCCCAGGAGGTCAAGGCTGCAGTGAGCCATGATGGTGCCACTGCACTCGCACCTGGGTGACAGAGCAAGACCCTGCCTCAACAAAACAAAACAAAACAAAACAAAACCAAGAGTCTCCTCAGTCCAGCCTCTACTATCATCACCTCTTGCCATGGACTTCAAACTCTAGAAATAATTGCTTATAAATATCATACATGAAAAATTCTTCAATGAAATATAATTATTTTGTTTCATGCTCATGCTGTTCACAATGCCAGAAATGATTCTCCTATTCTTTTCTGTTTTTTTTTTTTTTTTTTGAGACCAAGTCTTGCTCTGTCGCCCAGGCTGGAGTGCAGTGGCATGATCTCAGCTCACTGCAACCTCTGCCTCCTGGGTTCAAGCAATTCTCCTGCTTCAGCCCTCCGAGCAGCTGGGACTACAGGCGTGCACCACCACGCCCAGCTAATTTTTATATTTTTACTAAAGATGGGGTTTCACCATATTGGCCAGGCTGGTCTGGAACTCCTGACCTTGTGATCCACCTGCCTCAGCCTCCCAAAGTGCCGGCATTACAGGTGTGAGCCACCGCACCCAGCCTCTCCTACTCTTTTACCTGGCCAACATGTACTTATCTTTCATGATTCGGTTCAGATATGTCCTCTTGGACTACTCTCTAAATGTCCAGGCTGATCAAGTGCCTCTCTTGTAGGCTCCCAAGATATCCCTCTACCCACAACACTTAGACCATATCGCACTGATTTAAAATATTTACTTATTTGTCTTCCTCATAAAGCTATTAACTCTCTCCCAATTCTAAGTGCAGAGAATTTATCTTATTTGATTCTACAATCTTGCCCCAGCAACTACTTAAGCATTTACAACAGTCACCTTTCAGAGGGCCTGCCCAACTACTGTAGTAGGCCCCCACATCCCTGTGAGGGTGAGGCTCTGTAGCTGTTTTATTTGCTATAAGCCTAGACCCCCTGATCACAGCACAGTCTAGAGGGAGTTTCAGGACAATCAGTCCAAAGGCTAGATTGGACTAGGCCATTCAGATTCTTTAGGGAATATGTAACTGGCTGGTGGCACTAGACCAAACCGCCCGGGTGGCCACTTTTTACCAAAGCCAGTCCTTGGAGAAAAGAAAACTTGAGACTTGAAGCATGGGCCAGGCGCAGTGGCTTATGCCTGTAATCCCAGCACTTAGGGAGGCTGAGGCGGGTGGATCACTTCAAGTCAGGAGTTCAAGACTAGCCTGGCAAACATGGTGAAACCCCATCTCTACTAAAAATACAAAAAAAAAAAAATTAGCTGGATGTGGTGGCGGGCGCCTGTAATCCCAGCTACTCGGGAGGCTGAGACAGGAGAATTGCTTAAACTCAGGAGGTGGAGGTTGCAGTGAGCCAAGATCGTGCCATTGCACTCCAGCCTGGGTGACAGTGTGAGACTCCAACTCAAAAAAAAAAAAAAGACAGGAAACATGGACATCCTTGGTTCCTAGTGGCTTTTCAATTCCTGTTTCCACTTCTCTCTGAGATCCAATAATACTTTCTGTTCTTGGGGTTTGTGAACTCGTCTTTCCAATAAATGTGAGTGGGTTTCTTATCCTTTTAAACAAATGATCCCAGGCTGAGCGTGGTGGTTCACGCCTGTAATCCCAGTACTTTGGGAGGCCAAGGCAGGCGGATCACCTGGGGTCAGGACTTCAAGACCAGCCTGGCCAACATGACGAAACCATCTCTACTAAAAATACAAAAATCAGCCAGGTGTGGTGGCGTGAGTCTGTAATCCTGGCTACTCGGGAGGCTGAGGCAGGAGAATTGCTTGGACCCAGGAGGTGGAGGTTGCAATGAGCCGAGATCACACCACTGCACTCCAGCCTGGGCGACAGAGTGAGAATCCATCTCAAAAACAAAAAATAAAAAATATTGGCTGGGTGTGGTGGCTCACACCTGTAATCCCAGTACTTTGGGAGGCCGAGGAGGGCGGATCATCTGAGGTTGGGAGTTCGAGACCAGCCTGACCAACATGGAGAAAGCTTGTCTCTACTAAAAATACAAAATTAGCCGGGTGTGGTGGCACATGCCTGTAATCCTAGCTACTCGGGAGGCTGAGGCAGGTGAATCGCTTGAACCCGGGAGGCAGAGGTTGAGGTAAGCTGAGATCACGCCATTGCACTCCAACCTGGGCAATAAGAGCGAAACTCTGTCTCAAAAAATAAACTAATAATAAACAAATGATCCCTAACCAGATAATCCTCAAATTATTTCCTGAAACAAAATTAATTGCCCACTCACATATTTGTGTTGTGTGAGACAATGCAACCATAACATGTAGCTTTTAGACCAGGGATTCCCAAACTGCTGATCAAAATATTTTTTGAGATACAGTCTCATTCTTGTTGCCCAGGCTGGAGTGCAATGGCATGATCTTGGCTCACCACAACCTCTGCCTCCTGGGTACAAGCAATTCTCCTGCCTCAGCCTCGCCGAGTACCTGGGATTACAGGTGCCTGCCACCACGCCCGGCTAATTTTTGTATTTTTAGTAGAGACAGGGTTTCACTATGTTGGCCAGGCTGGTCTCAAACTCCTCACCTCAGGTGATCTGCCTGCTTTGGCCTCCGAAAGTGCTGGGATTACAGGCATGGGCCACTGTACGCGGCCTGAATTTTTTCTTATTTTTTTCTGAAACAGAGTCTAGCTCTGTCACCCAAGCTGGAATGCAGTGGCGTGATCTTGGCTCCCGGGTTCAAGTGATTCTCGTGCCTCAGCCTCCCAAGTCGCTGGGATGGCAGGTGCACACCACTGTGCCCAGCTAATTTTTGAATTTTTAGTAGAGACAGGGTTTCACCATATTAGCCAGACTGGTCTCAAACTCCTGACCTCAAGTGATCCGCTCATCTCAGCCTCCCAAAGTGCTGGGATTACAAGCATGAGCCACCGCACCAAGGCTGAATTTTCTTTAAAAAACAATACAAAACACTACAAAACAAAAACAATTCCCAGGCCTTACCCTAAAACTCTTCCATTAGGCATTTCTGAATTTGCATGTTTACTGCAGCATTATTCACAATAGCCAAGATACGGAATCAGCCGAAGTGTGCATCAGTGAATAAATGCATAAAGAAAATGTGGCACAGGCCAGGCGCAGTGGCTCATGCCTGTAATCCCAGCACTTTGGGAGGCCAAGGCAGGCGGATCATGAGGTTAGGAGATCGAGACCATCCTGGCTAACACAGTGAAACCCCGTCTCTACTAAAAATACAAAAAATTAGCCGGGCGTGGTGGTGGGTACCTGTAGTCCCAGCTACTCAGGAGGCTGAGGCAGGAGAATGGCGTGAACCTGGGAGGCGGAGCTTGCAGTGAGCCGAGATCATGCCACTGCACTCCAGCCTGGGCGACAGGGCAAATACTCCGTCTCAAAAAAAAAAATGTGGCACAGATACACAATGCAATACTGTTTAGCTATAAAAAAGAATGAAATCCTTTGGACAACATGGATGAACCTAGAGGACATTATGTTAAGTGAAACAAGCCAAGTATAGAATACTGAATGACCTCACTTATATGTGGAACCTTAAAAAGTTGATCTTGGCTGGATGCGGTGGCTCACACCTGTAATCCCAGTACTTTGGGAGTCTGAGGCTGGTGGATCACCTGAGGTCAGGAGTTTGAGACCAGCCTGGCCAATATGGTGAAACCTTGTCTCTACTAAAAATCCAAAAATTAGCTAAACTAAGAGTGTGCCCCCAACCTCACCCTCATTATTGCAAAGGAATGACAATGAACCACTTGAAGGATAGAGCCACCCTGCTTCTTCATGGGAAGAAACAGGATGTGGATGAGCTGCCACAGAATCTCTTCCCAAGCTCTCTGACAAGGGTCCAAGGATTCATGCAGCTCCACTAACATTTCCCAGAATGAGGCTGCTCCACATTAACCTACTGGGATCCCTGCCAGAAACTAGCAGCGCGGCAAGGTAAGCTCGAGGCTCGGGCTCCCTGCAGTTTACATTCTAGGATGGGGGGAAAGAGACATGTAAGACTAGTGAGTCTATCTCTGCATGCATTCATGTGTATCTAGACAAATGTAAATGAGTGTACACAAAGACAAAGATGGCTTAAAAAAAAGGAGTCAGATGTGGTAGCAGGAACCTATCGTCCCAGCTATTTGGGAGGCTGAAGCATGAGGATCTCATGGGCCCAGGAGGTCAAGGCTTCAGTGAGCTATAATTGTGCCATTACCCTCCAGCCTGGGTGACAGAGCAAGACCTTGCCTCTAAAAACAAAAAACACAAAAACAAAAAAAAGAGGAAGGGGTAACCTTACAATGTTTCTAAAATTCAAGGGTGTTTCAGACTGGAGCCCAATGAGAAAGGAAAGTAATTCTACGCAGGTCACACAGACAACAAGACACACTATGTTGCAGTCAGTAAAAGACAGGTGGGCAACCTAAGTCTGTGGAGAGGTTGGGAAAGGAAAGACAAGTGAAATCAAAGCAGAAGAATCTATTCACTATCCCAATCTGAGAAAGTGGGGAGGAGCAAAGGAGAGAGCCAAGACCAAGAAACACAACAGAAAATGGACAGACAATATGTATCAAACATTAAAAATATGTATAGCGGCTAGGCGCGGTGGCTCACACCTGTAATCCCAGCACTTTGGGAGGCCGAGGCGGGCGGATCACGAGGTCAGGAGATCGAGACCATCCTGGCTAACATGGTGAAACCCCGTCTCTACTAAAAATACAAAAAATTAGCCGGGCGGCTGGGCATGGTGGCCTGCACCTGTAGTCCCAGCTACTTGGGAGGCTGAGGCAGGAGAATTACTTGAACCCGGTAGGCGGAGGTTGCAGTGAGCCGAGATAGCGCCACCGCACTCCAGCCTGGCGACAGAGCAAGACTTCGTCTCAAAAAAAAAAAAGTATATATATACACATAGCAGGACCCTATAGTCTCTGCAGTCTCCCCATAGACATATATATATAGCTTGTAATACCAATTTTAGGAACTTACACTGAGGAACTAGTGATGGGTGAACAGTTTGAACTACTGTACATCTTTTTTAATTATAGAGACAGGGTGCCACTTTGTTGCCCATGTTGTAATAAAACCCACCTGGGCTCAGGCAATCCTCCCGCCTTAGTCTCCCAAAGTGCGGGATTACAGACATAAGCCATCAAGCCTTGCCACTACATACCTTTAACGGCGATAAGGTAGTTCACTGCATGAATATACTGACATTAATTGAATTAATTCCCTATTATTGAACATTTATGCCACGTCCAAATTTTTAGTAATACAAAACATGGCAATGAACATTCTTTTATTGAAATCCAGGGCCTCCTCTTAGTACTGGGGAATAAGGAGGAACAAAATTAAATAAATAAATCCAGGGCTGGGTGCGGTGGCTCACGCCTGTAATCCTAGCACTTTGGGAGGTGGGCAGATCAACTGAGGTCAGGAGTTCAAGACCAGCCTGGCAAACATGGCAAACCCTGTCTCTACTAAAAATATAAAAATTAGCCGGGCATGGTGGCAGTCGCCTTTAATCCCAGTTACTCGGGAGGCTGAGGTAGGAGAATCGCTTGAACCCAGGAGGGGCAGGCTGCAGAGATCGCGCCACTGAACTCCAGCCTGGGCGACAGAGAGAGTCCGTCTCAAAAATAAATAAATAAATAATACAAATAAATAAATAAATCTGGCTGGGCACAGTGGCTCACACCTGTAATCCCAGCACTTTGGGCGGTCAAGGCAGGCAGATCACTTGAGGTCAGGAGTTCAAGATCAGCCTGGCCAACAAAGTGAATGAAACCCTGTCTCCATTAAAAATACAAAAATTAGCCGGGCATAGTAGTGCGTACCTGTAGTCCCAGCTACTTGGGAGGCTGAAGCAGGAGAATCGCCTGAACTCAGGTGGCGGAGGTTGTAGTGAGCCAAGATGGCACCACTCAGCCTGGGCAACAGGGCAAGGTTCTGCCTCAAATAATAATAATAAATTAATAAATAAATCCGGCCGGGCACGGTGGCTCACGCCTGTAATCCTAGCACTTGGGAGGCTGAGGGGGGCAGATCACTCTAGGTCAGAAGTTTGAGACCATCCTGGCCAACATGGCGAAACGCCATCTCTACTAAAAATACATAAATTAGCCGGGCACAGTGACGGGTGTGTAATCCCAGCTACTCGGGAGGATGAGGCAGAAGAATCGCTTGAACCCAAGAGGCGGAGGTTGCAGTAAGCCGAGATCGTGCCCCTACACTCCAGCCTGGGCAATAGCGCGAGACTCCGTCTCAAAAATCAATCATCAATCAGTCCACGTGTCTGCGCTATGCCAAGATCTTAGACACTCTGAGCTGTGAATCTAAACTGTTCCTACACAAGATGGACTACACTACTAGCTAGCTAAGATAAGTAATGGTACTTCATAATAGGTCTTGAATTCTGATGTTTCGCCACAGAATCATGACTTCGTGGAAGGAGGGCCACATTAGGATTTACAATTATTTTGGATTTAAGTGACATATTCTTATAAGCTTTATATCTAGCAGTAAATTGATTTCTAATCCTTGATTTTTTTTTTTTTTGAGATGGAGCTCAAAAAAAAAAGGTGCCCACCACCACGCCCGGCTAATTTTTTGTATTTTTAGTAGAGACAGGGTTTCACCGTGTTAGCCAGGATGGTCTTGATCTCCTCACCTCGTGATCTGCCTGCCTCGGCCGGCCAAAGTGCTGGCATTACAGGTGTGAGCCACCGCGCCCGGCCTCTAATCCTTGATTTTGGAGGTCTCTGTTAAAAATGGACTGAATCCTAAAAGCCAGCTTTGGCAAGACACCTTGATTTTACCTAGTACCCACCAAAGTCACCACATAAACTTTGACAACATACAACAGAGGTTTAGCTACCTTAAGCATCTATCTAAACAAATATTTGTTAAAAAGAAATTCTTGCTGGGTGCAGTGGCTCACACCTGTAATCCCAGCACTTTGGGAGGCCCAGGCGGGAGGATCACCTGAGGTTGGGATTTCGAGACCAGCCTCACCAACATGGAGAAACCCCATCTCCACTAAAAATACAAAATTAGCTGGGTGTGGTGGCGCATGCCTGTAATTCCAGCTACTCGGGAGGCTGAGGCAGGAGAACTGCTTGAACCCAGGAGGCGGAGGTTGCAGTGAGCCGAGATCGCGCCATCACACTCCAGCCTGGGCAACAAGAGCGAAACTCTGTCTCAAAAAAACAAACAAAAAAAGAAATTATTCTTGGACTGTTAAATCAGAACCCTATTTAGTATTGCTTTTATATGTTTACAAATCCCATCACCTATTTCCAAGTGATACCAATCTGAAAAATGAAAGGGGAAATAAAAGGATTAGTCCAATAGTCTGATTTCATAAGAATCTTTATTTCTTCCTACCTATAGAAGATGGAAATTGATTTATTTCTTTTGTTTTTTTTCCAAGATGGAAAAAAAGACAGACTCACTCTGTCGCCCAGGCTGGAGTGCAGTGGCACAATCTCAGTTCACTACAACCTCTGCCTCCCGGGTTCAAGCGACTGTCCTGACTCAGACTCCCGAGTAGCCGGGACCACAGGCATGCGGCATCATGCCCGGCTAATTTTTGTGTTTTTAGTAGAGACGGGATTTCATCATGTTGGCCGGGCTGGTCTCGAACTCCTGGCCTCAAGTGATCCACCTGCCTCAGCCTCCCAAAGTGCCGGGATTACCGGAGTGAGCCACTGCCCCCGGCCTGAAATTGATTTCTATATACTCAAGGATGCTAACAGTTAACGTGTAAGTTATTCAGGAGAAAATCTGTACACAGGAAACTTTCAGGTTTTTGTTCCCTGGTGACATTTCCAGGTATAAGGCCTTCTACTCAGAATTAACAGGGAGCTTTATCCCTAACTTGCAAACTACTGGAGAGCAGAGACGGTAATTACGTATCTGGTATAAGAGATTATAAACTCTTAACAATAGTGTTAAATAATGATAATATGGCCGGGCGTGGTGGGTCATGCATATAATCCCAGCTCTTTGGGAGGCAGAGGTGGGCAGATCACCTGAGGTCAGGAGTTCAAAACCAGGCTGGCCAATATGGCAAGACCCCATCTCTACTAAAAATACAAAAATTAGCCGGGCGTGGTGGCACACACCTGTAATCCCAGCTACTTGGTGGTGCTGAAGCAGAAGAATCGCTTGAACCTGGGAGGCGGAGATTGCAGTGAGCCAAGATTGCGCCAGTGCACTGCAGCCTGGGCAACAGAGTAAGACCCTGTCTCAAAAAAGAAAATAATAATAATAATAATATCTCTCTTATCTCACACTTACTTCCTAAGTATAACAGCATTAAGACTTGAGGACCAGGACCATATGGTTGTGTATTTGCCCATTGAGAATCAAGAGCCCTCACCAGGGGCTATTTTGAGCTCCAAAAAACTCACTGTGTGACTAAGAGGAGCAACTCCTTTTGTTGCATATTCTACTACTGTATTTTTGAGCCCCTACTTCGGTCCTTCTCACCGTCATTTTAGGATAAGAAAACGCAAGGTTCATCTAGCTGAAATAACAGTTTTAAAAGATGAGTGTTTATTGTACAAACGATACTTTATCAACAATACAGAAATTTAAAATGCAAGAAAGATCACTCAGAATTTTCTCTCTTTTAAAATCTGTTTTTCATTTGTCAGGTTCCTGTTTAGTCTTCAACCACATATATATTTTAATTGTGCACAGCTATTATCAGCAGAGACAGGATTTTGTATCTCATTTCATTAAACGTACTGAATTCTTCGCACATTACAGTCTCCATAATTATGTTAATGTCTGCATAATACCATCCAGATTTATCACTATTTACTTAAGTATTCGATTGTTAGTATTTAGATTAAGTAGCTTCCAATTATTATCTTGTTAAAAACGACTTTTCCTTTGGATAAATTCTCAGGTGTGAACATTTTAGGCAAAAGGGTATAACATTTTTAGGCTCTTCTTTCAACAAATACTATGTACTTTTGCGGTTTTTTTTTTTTTTTTTGAGACAGGGTCGTGCTCTGTCACCCAGGCTAGAGTGCAGTGGTGTAATCCCATTTAACTGCAGCCTCCACTTCCCAGACTCAAGCCATCCTCCCACTTCAGCCTCCTGAGTAGCTAGGACCAAAGGCACAAGCCACCATGCCCAGCTAATTCTTAAATATTTTGTAGAGATGGGGTCTCACTACATTGCCCAGGCTGGTCTGGTCTTGAATCTCTGGGCTCAAGTGATCTTCCTGTCTCAGCTTCCCAAAGTGCTGGATTACAGTCATGAGCCACTATACCCAGCCAATACTGGCCAACATGGTGAACCCTGTCTCTACTAAAAAACAAAAAAATTAGCCGGGCTTGGTGGTGGGCGCCTATAATCCCAGCTACTCAAGAGGCTGAGGCAGGAGAATCACTTCAACCTGGGAGGCGGAGGTTGCAGTGAGCTGAAACTGAGCCACTGCACTTCAGCCTGGGCAACAAGAATGAAAGTCCGTCTCAAAAAAAAAAAAAAAAAAAAAAAAAAAAAAGGCCAGGTATGATGGCATGTGATATAGTCCCAGCTACTCAGGATTCTGGGGCAGGAGGATCCCTTGGGCCCAGGAATTTGAAGCTGCAGTGAGCCATGACTGCACCACTGTACTCCACCCTGAGTGCAAAATGCTGTCTTGAAAAACAACAAAGTGGCTGGGCATGGTGGCTCACGTTTGTAATCCCAGCACTTTGGGAGGCTGAGGCGGGCAGATTACATGAGGTCAGGCGTTTGAGACCAGCCTGGCCAGCATGGTGAAACCCCGTCTCTACTAAAAATACAAAAATTGGCCAGGCATGGTAGCACGCGCCTGTAGTCCCAGCTAGTCGGGGGGCTGAGGCACAAGAATCGCTTGAACCCGGAGGCAAAGGTTACAGTGAGCCAAGATCGTGCCACTGCACTCCAGCCTTGGCAACACAGCAAGACGCGGTCTCAAAAAAAAAAAAAAAAAAGAAAACAAAGCAACCCTGACATAATGGGTTAGCCTGATACTCTCAGGTAGGCCTTGGTGTCCTAGCGTAAATAAATAATTTCAGAGAATATCAACATCAGACAAGGCCACTCTGCAACTGTGATAAAGACAAAAACAAGACCACTCTATAATCATACCTGAACACAGACCAAAACAGGAACACTGGCCAGGCAAGGTGGCTCACACCTGTAATCTCAGCACTTTGGGAGGCTGAGGCAGGTGGATCACCTGAGGTCAGGAGTTCGAGACCAGCCTGGCCAACATGGTGAAACCCTGTCTCTACTAAAAATACGAAAATTAGCTGTGCGTGGTGGCATGTGCCCGTACTCCCAGCCACTCGGGAGGCAGAGGTGAGAGAATCACTTGAACCTGGGAGACGGAGGTTGCAGTGAGCCAAGATCATGCCACTGTACTCCAGCCTGAGCAACAGAGCGAGACTCCATCTCAAAAAACAAACAAACAAACAAAAAAACCCAAGAACACTGACTAAACCACAAAAAGATCAAACATCCCCTTAACCTGGCTAATATAAATGACTGTTTCATCTTTATCAATTACAGCTTTAACCTCCTGCTAGATAAGATTAAGATACCCAAACATAGAATTTGCCCGTCGTGACAGTATCCATCTGGAGCAAAGTGCTATATCCTTAAGCCGTCCCCCAAATCACGTGCAACAAGTCCCAGTGTTGTAACTCCTTTCCAGCACTCTTACCGAGAGGTCCCTCGCTCTCTTATGGTGAAGGTTCTCCTAGGTACAACAAGCAACTATATCTGACTTGTTCTGCTACAAGAACAGTCCCTGGTAGTCTTTGACTGGAGAGTGCTGACAATGGGAAATAAGAGTTCACGTCCAAAATTAAATACCTCCAACTGTGTAGATCATCACTCTGCCGATTGCCATCCTTCTCCTCAAATCACACCCCACCCCCAGCCCCTTCAAGAGCCCTCTTTTCGGCCAGGCGCGGTGGCTCATGCCTGTAATCCCAGCACTTTGGGAGGCCAAGGCAGGCGGATCACGAGGTCAGAAGATCGAGACCATCCTGGCCAACACGGTGAAACCCTATCTCTACTAAAAATACAAAAATTAGCTGGGTGTGGTGGCAGGTACCTGTAATCCCAGCTACTCAGGAGGCTGAGGCGGGAGAATCGATTGAACCCAGGAGGCAGAGGTTGCAGTGAGCTGAGATCGCGCCACTGCACTCCAGCCTGGTGACATAGCGAGACTCTGTCTCAAAAAAACCAAAAAAGCAAACAAACAAAAATAAAGTCCTCCTTTCTTGAATTCTTTTCTGTATTCTCCCGGTTTTCCTGAGTTCCCTGCTCCCCCGCAGCAGTTCTTCTTGCCCTGTAAATGTACATGTTTTCCAAGGTTCTCTCCTTAGCTTATCTGTCAGTATCAGTGGTTCTTAACCATTTTTGGCTCATAGTACTCTCTTTCAAAATCTAAGGACAAAAACTAAGAACGACTTCCCACACCACCCCCCCAAAATCTTGCCCAGAAAGTACACATATAATCAAAACTTTGCAATTTTAGGGAAAGTTTACACAACTCAAGCCAGGAATGCCTGCTCTCTACTGTCTTTCCCATGATAATGTAACAATTTCAATAATTCCTTCTACATAAATGACTGCCAAATCATTAACTTCAATCCTTACTCTCTGCCAAGCTTCAACTAATTGATGAAAAGGACAAAACCCAAATCTGTTCCTTAACATTCACCCTGCCATCTTTCCAGTTATATAGGTTCAAGACATTAGTATCAATTTTTTTTTTTTTTTTTTTTTGAGACGGAGTCTCACTCTGTTGCCCAGGCTGGAGTAGAATGGCACAATCTCAGCTCACTACAACCTCCGCCTCCCGGGTTCAAGCAATTCTCCTGCCTCAGCCTTCCGAGTAGCTGGGATTACAGGCACCCACCATCATGCCCAGCTAATTTGTTTGTACTTCTGTAGAAACAGGGTTTCACCATGTTGGCCAGGCTGGTCTCGAACTCCTGACCTCAGGTGATCCGCCCGCCTTGGCCTTCCAAAGTGCTGGGATTACAGGTGTGAGCCACCTTGCCCTGCGAAAGAAAATCTTTTTAACACTAGGCTCAAATTCCTACACGGCAACAGTTGGTTAAAGTCAAGAATGCCTTCTGTAGTTCTTTGCAGCCCCTACTACTCCTTACTGTCTTGCGCCTAGCAAACTTTTCTTCACTTAGCTTTTCTGTCTGGCTCCGCAGCCAATCTGAATTTGCGTAAGTCTAAACCATGAACATATACCTAACCCATCCCAGCTGCCAGATCCATGTTCTAATTAAGGTTATACCACCTCTACTTAAGCAGTTGAGTAAAAATATGACTTTATTGTTATTAATGATAAAAACAACAGTGGCTATCCTTGCTGTTACTGCTGTGCTAGCTGGGGCCAAGAAATCTGGGGATTGAATGACTACCCTAGTTTGATTGTTAGCCCACAGCACAGGGACATTCTACATCAAAACTTTCCTATTGAGAATACAACATAATCTCTCCCACCTCTGAAATCTTCACACATTATCCAAAGACAATTCCAATTTTTAAATAATTTTCCTCTCTTCAAATTGTGGGAAAAGGTTATGGAAATCATTTTTACCGCTACTAGTACTTTTAAATAAGTAAGATATTGCTCACTCAGAATATTTCCCAGATGCATGCAGACACCTTAGCACCAGATATTATCACTCCCATTTTGCAGATGCAAAAACAAAAGCACAAATAAGGGAATCATTTGCCCAATGTCACAAAGTTCAGAGAAGAGCACTATTCCTAGTTCCCTGCTTTGGTTCTGGAAGCTAAGCAAAAACAAACAAATACTAACTATAAAATGAAAACAGCTCCCCTTGCCCCAAACACTAGGTTATGAGGATTAGGAAGACAGAAAGAGGTAGGAATTAAGAGTAGGTTAAATTATTACTTATTATGCTCGCCTTCAAAATAGTGTCAATAAATTCAACAAGCAAGAGGCTATGATGATTAATTCAGTTTACAATTCAGTAATATTTGCTAGGCTAAACACTATGATGCACGTGCGGGGAGTGGAATGAACTCTTCCAAGCAGGAGACTCTTTTTCTACTCCAAGTGACAAGGATGACAGTTCTTAACCACGAGTGGGCAGCTGGAGAGACCAAGAAAAGGAAGTTCTGTGGAGGCCCGTTGCCACCACTTAGTTTTGAAAGGCTTCTGGGTAAGACAAGCGACTCCTCAACAGAAGAGGAAACGAAAGGTTGGCCCCAACCACCATGGTATTATTTCCTTCCTCAAAACTGTTTAAATTTTTGCCTATGTCCTTTATAAACAGACCAACCACCATGGTATTATTTCCTTCCTTAAAACTGTTTAAATTTTTGCCTATGTCCTTTATAAACAGACACTTCTCCTAGTACTTAAGACTTTCTTGATCTAGAGCAATCTTCTCTCTTTTAATGATCCAAAATGTGTTTCATTCCAGGGTCAATTTACTCACACATTATGACATTACTTGTCCATTCACACAGGGGAGGTGAAAACCGAGGGAGGGCTGGGCGTAATCATTTCCCACCCCTAGGCCCTAGGCCCTGCCTCTTTTCATTTGCCAGTCTTGTGACATCATGCTATTCGTGGACTCTATTCCAAACGTTTCTGCTCTTTGACTTATTTTATCCTGGCCTATAATTGGGTTGGTTACAAAGCTTACTGAGAAATTTTTCACTTCATTCATTTATAACTGTCTTTCTATTCACTCTTAAAAAGGCTACTTTCCAAAGAGCTAATGCTTATACCCTGAAATATACTACCAGACACACATTCCCTGCCTTCCTTATAGGAAACAGTTCATGTATTTCTCATATTTCAGTTTATACATTTTTAGATTCTGTTCACTAAAAAACAGCCAAGTGTGCTATTTTAAATACTTCGACATACGTTCTTAGGCTGTTTTCACTATTATGTATCCTGAATGATGCTCTAAGCATCATTATTTCTTAAATCTTTCCTTTGAGGCCTATGACTTAAAAACCAGCATAAAAATATGAGGCAAAAACAAACAAACAAACAAACAACCCTCTAGAAGCAGCACATCCAGAGAGGGCCTGAAGAAATACACTCCTTTGAGGACTTATCAGAAAAGAAATGTATGAGTGAAAAAAGGAACACGAAAAGAGGAAGAAGTCACCAACGGGAAAGAATGGAAAGGAGAGTAAGGCAAGTCCCTCCTAAAAGAAACAGACGGGAAAACTAGCAGAGGTTCTAGAGCAAGTGGAGCAATATATCCACGACCTAGGAGAGAGGTCACATCCCCCCAGGCACTTACCGTGTTGCATTTTGTGCCACACACCACTTGCCTATGATTCAACCACTGAGATGCAAACACTTTATTAAGGGTCCCAAGGTGAAACTCTCTCTCCTTCAGGAGACTGGGAAGTTGCTGTGCTGCATAACCATGCAACACTCGAGAGTAGCTGGTTTCATTCTGTAGCCTGACTTCCCGGTTCTTCAAGTAGTATACTAAGGATCTCTTCACAGGAGGAAGTCTTTTCCTTTTGTGAAGCGAGTGATCCCAGCCAAACTGTGGAAACAACATTAGAAATCAGGGCTTTGGCTACTCTTCTTCAGAACAGATCCTACTGTATTACAGAAATCACCAACTCATAACTCATACTGCAGAATTTACAAACAACACAAATACAAACACAAGAGAACAAGAATCTCAATCCAGAAAGTCGTTTAACTCTTCCAACATTAAAAAGATGTTGCTCACAGTCAAACTTACCAATGTGAATTACAAGGGCTGAAAGTCAAGGGAATGAATGCAGAATAGAACAGACTAAAAGGTTTACTAGACATTTTAGGAGTGAAAGATTGAAGGAAATGAGAGGTAGAGTGATTCCCATACCGACATGGGCTGCATCTCTACCCAGCCCCCTTCTCCCTCTCAGTCTGTACTCCCACTGGAGCACGGAAGATACAGTCCAAGGAGCCAGACCTGGCTCCCAGGTCTTCCAGGGATGCATCATCAATGACCGTTCCTCTGTCATCATGCCCGCGCTCCAGGCAGTTGCAGAATTCGAAAAATCAACCGCCAACGGGGTAGTAGGCCCCCGGGAAATCAGAGGCCATATCTATGTCCAAGAAGGCCTTCCCCTCCAAAGGGGGCGGCATAGAGATGATACCTGGGAACTGTTGTTTCTTTTGGGGTCCAAACGCCGAAAGGCCCAGCTCAGGGTTGGGTATACATATAGGGAGACTACTTCCTTCTTCCAGGAGGGACGCAATCATCCCAGCTTCCTAGGGCCCATGGAAGGTAGAGTTCACTCTACCAGAGTTTGTTTCCGATTCCCTTAACTTCGGTTTCCCCTTCCTCCAAAGCCAAGATTCTGGTTTCTTTTCAAGCCCTATCCACGAATGCAGGCCTCCCGCGGATTATGTCCCATTCCTGAGTTCCCCTTTGGCTCCTCACCGCCCTGGCCTATCTGCCCTCCAGTTAACGAGGGTCCAGTCCTGACCCTATAGGCCCTGAACCCATTCCTGTTTTGCCTCTGACTGCAGACCCTGGACCCCGATTCCCGTCGCAGGATCTGCGGACCCTAAGCCCATCTTGGTTCCTCAGCCTCACCACCCAGGTGCCGGCCTCTCAACCCTCACCTGCGGGCCCTGAGCGTCGCTCCCAGCTCCCGGCGAGGCGGGCGCTTTCCGCTTCCTGCTAACTACTTTCCGGGCCATAGTGGGCAGCGCCGCCGCGGCCCCGCAGCCACATGGGGCGGGGGAAGCGAAGGATAGCAGGACGGCGGGTCATATACTGGGCCCCGGGGCCGCGCACCTTAGTGCGCCCGGCCCGGAAAATGGCCCGGACCCGGAGCGGCAGCAGAAAAAAGATAGGCGGAAAGAAAGGAAAGAGAGAGGAAGGACTTGAGCCGGGAAAGGGAAGGGGAAGCGAGAATGAGCGGCTTTCCGACGGCAGAGCCTGCAAGGACGGCGAGCGGCTAGAACCAAAACACCCCCTCCCCCTTGCTCGCGCGCCGTCACCCTTGCGCAGCCGCACTTCGGATAGCGTCGCCACGGAAACACCGCCGGAACGAGATGGGCGGGATCTAGGGGTTGGAAGATAGTTCTCTGGTGTTTCCCGGCCGCCGCCAGGCCATTTTCAACGGTTGTTTGGCTACTGCTGGATGGAAGTGGACGAGCTGGGGCCAAGGGAATCTGGCTTCTGGCCGCCGACCTCCGACCCCAGCCCGCCTATCCGCAGGCACCCGGAAGTGAGGACCACCAGTGCTGCTGGGGGAAGGAATCCTCCCTAGTGCAGGCCTTAACCCGGTTACCTCCCATCTGGCACCAAACGTTTCCCTGAATCTGTCACAAACCGTGCCCTGGCTCCAAGGGCTGGACAGGGGGGTGGGGGGGTGGGGGGCAGGAACCGCTCCCACCCTCGAGGTGAAGTCCAGTCAGGAAGTCAGGGCAGTGTGGCCAGACTTTCCCACCACTGAGAACCTGCCCAGCACAACCAACCCAGGCCGCCCTACGAGTCTCTGGCTACCCTCTTCCCACCGCTGGGTAGCCCTGAGGCTCCATTCTCCGCTCTGTCTCCTCCTGATCCTTTCTCCTGTCCGAAATGCTTCAGCCCCTCAGTCAGTTTCAGCTCCTCAGTCACCTTCCCCTTACGGTGCAACTTCACCATTCCCTTTAGATTTCCATGACCTGCCATCTAAACCACATGGTCTTTTGTGCTTTATGAAGTAGTCATCACGCTGTAAACTTATCTGTAGCTGCCTGCCTCACTCTTGGATTCAGGTTGCGTCTCCATTAGGGCAGGTCGGGAATTCTGAACTACAGGAAAGAGAGTGGTCATTTTTGGCTTGCCAGTCCAGTTAGAGCTGGCATTGGCCTCCAAACAAGGGGGCTTCATCAGGATCACCCTTGCCAACATTTTTGGAAGATCCTGAAGGAATATGACTGCCAGCCTTCGCTTTCCTCAAGCAAACAAACCCTCTGAGGAAGCAGGATGCTCTTGCTTGGGGCTGATTGGCCTCAGGCTGTGGTGCCCAGTTACCTGCTGGTCACTTCAGGCTTCAGGCCTCAGGCCTCATACCTCCAAGGAGCTCTGTTGGACCATCTCAAGTTCTGTCAACAAGGAGATTTGGATTTGTTTTCCAAGCCGAATCAAAGACCAGATTGAAGCAGGGTCTCCTGCCATCCCAAGTCGGCACTACCACTAACCCCTAATGTCTTGCGAAAGGCAGCTCCATCTTATTTGGTCAGGCCTGTCCCTTTAGAGATATGCACATAGTGAGTGGGTCAGGAGTGGGTCAGCTTTCTTTTTTGAGTCTGTTCTAATTCTGTCTTGCCCCGCAATGCTCTGGATGACCCAAGAGCCCCTGGGCAAGAGTCTGGAATCCTTTGAGAATCTCTAGGCTCAGATTGGGCTGTCAGTGCCAAGAGGGGCACACTGGGCACTGCTGCAGTCTCTTTCTCAAAGTTCCTTTACTTCATCTTCACAACCTAGGAACCATCCCCAAATGTACCTTATAGCAGAGCTCGCGATTTCTTTTCTTTTTTTTTTTTTGAGATGGAGTCTCACTCTGTAGCCTAGGCTGGAGTGCAGTGGCACGATCTCGGCTCACTGCAACCTCTGCCTCCTGGGTTCAAGTGATTCTCCTACCTCAGCCTCCTGAGTAGCTCAGATTACAGGTGCTCGCCACGTTGCCCAGCTAATTTTTTTTTTTCTTTTTTGAGACGGAGTCTCGCTCTGTCGCCCAGGATGGAGTGCAGTGGTGCGATCTCGGCTCACTGCAGGCTCCGCCTCCTGGGTTCACGCCATTCTCCTGGCTCAGCTTCCCGAATAGCTGAGACTACAGGCGCCCGCCACCACGCCTGGCTAATTTTTTGTATTTTTAGTAGAGACGGGGTTTCACCATGTTAGCCAGGATGGTTGCCCACTAATTTTTGTATTTTTAGTAGAGACGGGGTTTCACCATGTTAGCCAGGATGGTTGCCCACTAATTTTTGTATTTTCAGTAGAGATGGGGTTTCGCCATGTTGGCCAGGCTGGTCTCAAAATCCTGACCTCAGGTGATCCGCCCACTTCGGCCTCCCAAAGTGCTAGGATTACAGGCATGAGCCACCACGGCTGGCCAAGAGCTCACCATTTCTATTCAAATAACAGAATGAAAGTCCATTTTGGAAATTTAATTGACAATTGCCTTTAAAAGACTGCAGGCCAGGTGCGGTGGCTCACGCCTGTAATCCCAGCACACTGGGAGGCCGAGTTGGGCCAATCACCTGAGGTCAGGAGTTCGAGACCAGCCTCCTGAGTAGCTGGGTTGCAGTGAGCTGAGATCATGCCACTGGACTCCAGCCAGGGTGACAGAGCAAGACCCTGTGTAAAAAATAAAATAATAAAATAATAATGATAACAATAATAAAGTAGTAGAGTGGCTGGGGGAAAAAGTACTCAGGGCATGTAACTACTCCAAGAATGGCATTCTTAGTGAGCCTCACTGCTGAAACTGCGTGCTATAATCTGAAAGCAGTTTTATCTAATAGCTGTTAAAACAACCTACTGTGACTCTCAGAAATAGTTTTACTTATTGCCTTCACTTACCAATCAAAACTTGCCAGCTCTCCAAAACCTTACTAGTGCCAGTGAACTTTCTTGAAGAGCAATACATAACACTTCCTTTTTACAAAACTTCCAACCTTCTCTTTGTTCTGCAGACATGGCAAAGACCACCCAGTCTGCGTGTGCCCTGAATTACAATTCCTGCTTCACAAAACATTTTAATTTTAGAGATTCATCTATATATTTTATTTCACCTTGACAAAACTGTGTGAATGAATTTTATAATATTGCATAAAAGATATCAGGCCAGGCGTGGTGGCTTACACCTGTAATCCCATCACTTTGGGATGCCAAGGCGGGTGGATCACCTTAGGTCAGGAGTTTGAGACCAGCCTGGCCAACATGGTGAAACCCCCTCTCTACTAAAAATACACAAATTAGCTGGGCATGGTGGTGCCCGCCAGTAGTCCCAGCTACTCAGGAGGCTGAGGCAGGAGAATCGCTTGAACCCAGGAGACCAAGGCTTCAGTAAGCCGAGATCGAGCCACTGCACTCCAGCCTGGGCAACAGAATGAGTTTCCGTTTCAAAAAAAGAAAAGAAAAGAAAAAAAAATCAAACACACTGCTGGGCACGGGGCTCACCCCTGTAATCCTAGCACTTTGGGAGGCTGAGGCAGGTAGATTGCTTGAACTCAGGAGTTTGAGACCAGCATGGGCAACATGGGAAAATCCTGTCTCTATAGAAACATACAAAAATTAGCTGGGTGGGGTGGCATGTACCTGTAGTCCCAGCTACTTGGGAGTTGGCAGGCTGAGGTGGGAGGATAGCTTGAGCCCAGAAGGTGGAGGTTGCAGGTGGAGAGCCAATATCATGCCACTGCACTCCAGCCTGGGAGATCCAGACCTGTCTCCAAAAAAGTCAAACACAAAGCAGTAATTCCTTTTTTTATTTTTATTTTTTGAGGGACAAGTTCTCGCTTTGTTGCCCAGGCTGGAGTGCAGTGGCATGGCATGCATGTGCCACCACACCCAGCTTATTTTTTATCTTTTGTAGAGACAGGGTCTCGCCTGGTTGCCCAGGCTGGTCTTAAACTCCTGGGCTTAAGCGATCCTCCCACCTTGGCCTCCCAAAGTGCTGGTATTACAGGTATGAGACACTGAGGCCAACCAAAGCAGTAATTCCTAAATGTAATTAGTAAATGCCTAATTTCATGTTTTTGAAGTATGAAAACAGGCACAACTGATCCATGGTAAGAGAAATCAGTCATTACCCTTAAGCGGGATTACTAACTGGCAGGGGACCTCAGGGAGCCTTCTGAGGTTCTGGAAATTTCTTTTTTTTCTTTTTGAGACAGAGTCTCATTCTCCCACCCAGGCTGGGGTGCAGTGGCACGATCTCAGCTCACTGCAACCTCTGCCTTCCGGGTTCAAGCAATTCTCCTGCCTCAGCCTCCCAAGTAGCTGGGACTACAGGCCTGCGCCACCACACCTGGCTAATTTTTGTATTTTTGGTAGAGATAGGGTTTCACCGTGTTGGCCAGGCTGGTCTCAAACTCCTGACCTCAGGTCATCCACCCACCTCGGCTTCCCAAAGTGCTGGGGTTACAGGCATCAGCCACCATGCCTAGCCTGGAAATTTCTTTCATTTTTCTTTTCTTTTCTTTTTTTTTTTTTTTTTTTTTTGTGAGACAGTCTCGCTTCATTGCCCAGGCTGGGTGCAATGGTGCAATCTCAGCTCACTGCAACCTCTGCCTCCTGAGTTCAAGCGATTCTCCTGCCTGAGCCTCCTGAGTAGCTGGGATTACAGGTGCCCACCACCTCGCCTGGCTAATGTTTTTGTATTTTTAGTAGAGATGGGGTTTCTCCATGTTGGTCAGGATGGTCTCGAACTCCCGACCTCAGGTGATCCGCCTGCCTCGGCCTCCCAAAGTGCTAGGATTACAGGCGTGAGCCACCACTCCTGGCCCTAATTTTTGTATTTTCAGTAGAGGCAGGGTTTCCCCATGTTTGCCAGGCTTGTCTAGAACTCCTGACCTCAAGTGATCTGCATGCCTCGGCCTCCTAAAGTTCTGATATTACAGGCATGAGCCACAGTGTCTGGCCCTCAAACTATACTATTTTGTAGCCTCAAATAAAAACCCCAACAGTTCCAATCTTCTCTAACCCCATTCCTCCAATTCAGTTCTTATAACCATTTCATCACAATGCAATGTGCTGCTAGAGGGTCATTAATGGATCTGCACCTGTTACCTTCTCTTGCCTTGGTCTTGCCAGGAAGAATAAACAATAAGAAATACTATAAAGTGCTTTGGGCAAACTGAATTGTGTTATACTTGCTTAGTAACAGAATTTTCTCTTGTTTATTTGCATAGGTTTCCTGGAACAAACAAAGCGGATGTTAATACAATTCCCTGTTTGACTCTACCCTTCATGTGTTGGAGCTAATTAACCACGCTTGCTAGCAAAGGGGCAAGTAAGAGCTCAGGAGGAAAGTATTTCTGTTAGGAAAAAGGATTTTGGATTTTAATTCATACAACCATAATAAAACATAGCAAGGAAAGAGACCCAGAGGACATAGGACACAAATGAACACAGATGGTAAGCGCACAAAAACGGCTCTCCGATGACGTAGGGATGTGAGAGGCCTCTGAGGCATGGAATCGTAATTACTTCACCCACTGTGGAAATATTTTTCAGATTCTGGGCATAGGTTATTAAAAGTGGAAGATATAGGCCGGGCGAGGTGGCTTACACCTGTAATCCCAGCACTTTGGGAGACTAAGGCGGGTGGATCACTTGAGGCCTCTACTAAAAATACAAAAATTAGCTAGGCATGGTGGCGGACACCTGTAATCCCAGCTACTCAGGAGGCTGAGGCAGGAGAATCACTTGAATTCGGGAGGCGGAGGTTGCAGTGAGTTGAGATTCAGCCAATGCACTCCAGTCTGTGCAACAGAGTGAGACTCCGTCTCAAAAAAAAAAAAAAAAAAAGTGGTAGATATAGAGAGACAGCTCATGTCTTAAACTTATAGTTTTAAAGAAAACTAAGGCCAAAAATGACAAGTCATGCAACCAGACAAGAGATAAGCCAGAGCTGAAACCCATGAACTCTGGTCTACAAAATTTTTTCTTTTCTTTTCTTTTCTACTTTTCTTTCTTTCTCTCTTTCTTTCCTTCTTTCTCTTTCTTTCTTTGGCATTGAGACCTGCTTGATTTATTCCAATTACTTAACACATAATGATGCAACTGTGATCCCAAAGTGTGCAAAGTTAAAGCCTTCAACTGCAGCTGAGGAGAGGGCAGGAATGGTTCACTGGGGACGGTGATGAGTCAGGAATGACAGGCAGGTGGCCATGACCAGGGCAGCCTCCTCCCCAGGGCCAGGGACAGGGGAGTGGCCTGAGGAGCAGGACCCAAGGGTAGCCCAGGGCCGGGGAAGAGGGCAGAGACCTCCCCTTGGCCTAGGTCAGGAGCTCAGAAGTGCTACATGGCTGAGGGGGCAGCGGCCCACGAAGGGCCAGAGGCAGGGCCAGGAGAGCACCATTTCCTGGGGGGGCTGGGGGCAGGGAGGTGCCCTACAGGAGAAACCAGGAGGGGCTGCCTGCCCCTGGGATGGGGGCTGGGCTGGAGCAGGCTGCAGCAAGAAAGACCTGAGGCAGGTGCAGGGCCTGAGAACCTGGCTGGCTGGGCTCGGGGGGCTCCCAGGGCAGCCTGGCCCAGGGAGCAGCCCTGACTCTGCAGGGGATGCCCAGCGAGGGCCCGGAGACCCTTCAGGGCCTCCCCTCCTCTCTCCCTGGAAAGGAGCTGGGGAACCCGTAATGCAAATCTGTGGACCACTCAGTTATGGGGGGAGGCTGTGCCCCCTCCATCACCTTGGCCTCTACTGCTGTCCTCAGTACAGCCGCTTTTCATAAAAGTGCAGACCATGGACGCCACCCTCGATCTGGGCCGACATGATCCGCTTCTCAAACTTGAGCTCTCCTGAGTACATCATGGACCGAGGGACAGACAGGCTGTGGGCCCCGATATCCTAGCAGCCGTGCTGGATGCCCACTATGAGGTAGGGCACGAACTTCTGAATGGACCCTTTGTCCTGGATGGAGCCCAAGACACCCTGCACGATCTTCACCTTATCCCCCTTGCTGAAGTATCGTTTCTGGCTGCTGCTGCTCTTCTCCATGGCATCCAGTGAGCCCATGCCCCAGTACTTCTTGAGCCGCACCTCGTCTGAGAAGTACTCACCAGGGGCCTCCATGGTGATGGCCAGCAGGGAGCCCATCATCACTGTGGAGACTCCAAGGGCCAGGGCCTTGACTATGTGCCCCATGGTCTGGATGCTGCCATTGGCTATGATGGGCACACCAAAGCGCCGGGCATACTTGGCCTCCTTGTACACAGCAGTGCCCTGGGGCTGACCACAAGCCATCACTTCCCGGGTGACGCAGATGGAGCCGCAGCCCATGCCCACACACAGCCCGTCCACACCAGCGTCAATCAGGTTCTTGGCCTGGGCTGCTGTCACCACGTTCCTGCCAATCACCTGGAGGTGGGGGTACTTCTGTTTGATGTAATGCACCATGGCGATCTGATACACCAAGTTCCCTTGGGACGAGTCCAAGACTATGATGTCGACGCCCACCTGGGTGAGCAGGTCCAGGCGATATTTGTCATCCTCACGGGTGCCCACAGCTGCCCCGCACAGCAGCTGCTTGTTGGGAATCCTTGGAGGCCAGAGGGTAGTCTTGGTTCTTCTTCAGGTCGCTGCCGGTGATAATGGCCACCAGCTCATTGCGATCATTGATGATAGGCAGCTTCCCTTTCTTGCTACGCTGCAGGATCTCATTTGCCTCTTTCAACGTCACACATGCTGGAGCTACCACCAGCTCGAGCCTTGGCGTCATCACCTCACTGAGGAGGGTGGTGTGGTCCTTCTCAGCAAGAAAGTTGATGTCTCGGGAGGTGACGATGCCCACCAGCTTGCTGCCCATGGTGCCCGTCTCAGTGATGGGGATGCCAGAGAAGCCATGCCGCATCTTGGCCTCCAGCACATCACCTACAGTGTGGGAGGGGCTCAGCACCGTGGGGTCCGTGATGAAGCCCTGTTCAAACTTCTTGACCTTCCGTAGCTCCTTGGCCTGGAGCTCTGGGGTGCAGTTGTGGTGAATGAAACCAGTATCTCCCATCAGAGCCATCGCGATGGCCACGTCAGCCTCTGTCACAGTGTCCATGGGGGAGGAGATCAGCGGTGTCTTCAGCGTGATCTTCCGGGTCAGGGCTGAGGTAAGGTCCACCTCAGCTATGAAGTCTATGAGTCCTGGGAGAATCAGGAAGGCGTCCTAGGTGAGGCCTTAGGCGCTGGCGAAGAGCTGCTGCGCGATGAGCCCGTCCTCGGGCATGTAGCCGGTACCACCGCTGATCAGGTAGTCCACCACGCTGCTGGGAGACCCTGCGACCCGAGAGAAACACCCGCTGGACCGCCCGCCGCCGCCGCCGCCGCTGCCGCGCTGCTGCCACGCTGCTGCCACGCTGCTAGCGCGGGTCCGGCGGGCCTGGGACGGGGGATCTTTTTTTTTTTTTTTTTTGAGAGCAGGGTCTGTGGCCCAAGCTGGAGTGTAGTGGTATGATCTCAGCTCACTGCAACCTTTGCCTCTTGGGCTCAAGCCATCCTCCCACCTCAGCTTCCTAAGTAGCTGGGACTACAGGTGCAGGCCACCATGCCCGCCTAATTTTTGTATTTTTTGTAGAGATGGGGTTTCACCATGTTACACAGGCTGGTCTTGAACTCCTGAGCTAAAGTGCTTTACATGCTTCGGCCTCCCTAAGTGCTGGGATTACAGGCGTGAGTCACCATGCTAGGCCCATAATTTTCAGCACTACCACATTAAATATCTGGGTCCAGTTGAAGTCTCAAGTGGTATTTATTTTAGCATTTCCCTTGTACTCTCATGTTTTTTCTTTATTCAGAACCTGAAATGTTTTATCCAGAACATCTACTACTTTGACAGCAGAAATTCTATTTCTATATGTTATGCATAATTTGGCATACGTTGGTAGAATTTGTGTTAAGTACAGTACAGACAATTTCTGTTTCATTTATTTTTTTAGAGACAGGGTCTCACTATGTTGTCCAGGCTGGACTCACAACTCAAGGGATCCTTCTGCCTCAGCCTCCAGAGTACTTGGGACTACAGGTGCGAGCCATCATTCTCAGTACAGACAATTTCCAATCATTCATTAATTGATCATAGAGTTTGTAAAGTTTCAAGAGTCCTTGTTTTCTGTTGCTCCTGCCTGTTAAACAGTCTTACTTTTATCTGTAACCTTAATAAAATAAGAAAATAAAGGAAGAGACAAAACTTTTCTACTTAATAAGATCAAGTAATTTATTTATTTATTTATTTATTTATTTTTTGAGATGGAGTCTCACTCTTGTCACCCAGCTGGAGTGCAATGGTGTGATCTCAGCTCACTGCAACCTCCACCTCTCAGCTTCAAGCGATTCTCCTGCCTCAGCCTCCCAAGTAGCTGGGATTACAGGCGTCCACCACCAAGCCCAGCTAGTTTTTGTATTTTTGGTAGAGACGGAGTTTCACCATGTTGGCCAGGCTGGTCTCGAACTCCTGACCTCAAGCGATCCACCCATCTCAGCCTCCCAAAGTGCTGGGATTACAGGTGTGAGCCACTGCGCCTGGCCAAGAAATTTATTTTTAAAAAATTGGCTGGACAAGGTGGCTGTAAATCCAGCACTTTGGGAGACTGAGGCAGGTGGATCACTTGAGGTCATGAGTTTGAGACCAGCCTGGCCAACATGGTGAAACTCCGTCTCTACTAAAAATACAAAAACTAGCTGGGTGTGGTGGAGGTGCCTATAATCCCAGCTACTAGGGAGGCTGAGGCAGGATAATCGCTTGAACCCAGGAGGTAGAGGTTGCAGTGAGCCGAGATCATGCCACTGCACTCCAGCCTGGGCAACAGAGCGAGACTCCATCTCAAATAAAATAAAGTAAAACAAAAATAAAAAATAAGAGAGAAATAGCTAATTGGAAGAAAAACAATGTACCTCATCCTACTCATGCTATCTTCCTACCGCCTTCATACATTTCTGAAATGACTAATGTGGGTATATATAAATATAAAAATTGTACACAAATATTACCTACCAATTTTGTTGAGGAGTCTTCCATCAGTCATATTTTTTGAGTCAAATACAACACAATCTTGGCATAAAAACAAACACATAGGTATCAACTAATGATAGGAAAATAAAATGGCTTGCAAAATGGAACAAATATTTTAAAAAAATTATTAGATAATTAGGCAACGTTTTTCCTCTGATCACAAATGTCCAGAAATGTCTTTAAAGACCATTACCGGCTGGTGGTGGCTCATGCCTGTAATCCCAGCACTTTGGGAGGCCGAGGCAGGCAGATCACTTGAGGCTGGGAGTTTACAGCCAGCCCAGGCAACATGGTGAAACCCTGTTACTACAAAAAAATACAAAAATTAGCCAGGTGTGGAGGCTGAAGTGAAGTTACAAAGGTTACACGCTGCCCTCTCCCTCCCCCTCCCCCTCTCCCCACGGTCTCCCTCTCCCTCTCTTTCCACGGTCTCCCTCTGATGCCGAGCCGAGGCTGGACTGTGCTGCTGCTATCTCCGCTCACTGCAGCCTCCCTGCCTGATTCTCCTGCCTCGGCTTGCCGAGTGCCTGCGATTGCAGGCACGCGCCGCCACGCCTGACTGGTTTTCGTATTTTTTTGGTGGAGACGGGGTTTCGCTGTGTTGGCCGGGCTGGTCTCCAGCTCCTGACCGCGAGTGATCCGCCAGCCTCGGCCTCCCGAGGTGCCGGGATTGCAGACGGAGTCTGGTTCACTCAGTGCTCAATGTTGCCCAGGCTGGAGTGCAGTGGCGTGATCTCAGCTCGCTACAGCCTCCACCTCCCAGCCGCCTGCCTTGGCCTCCCAAAGTGCCGAGATTGCAGCCTCTGCCCTGCCGCCACCCCGTCTGGGAAGTGAGGAGCGTCTCTGCCTGGCCGCCCATCATCTGGGACGTGAGGAGCCCCTCTGCCTGGCTGCCCAGTCTGGAAAGTGAGGAGCGTCTCTGCCCGGCCGCCATCCCATCTAGGAAGTGAGGAGCACCTCTTCCCGGCCACCATCCCATCTAGGAAGTGAGGAGCGCCTCTTCCCGGCCGCCATCCCATCTAGGAAGTGAGGAGCGTCTCTGCCAGGCCGCCCATCGTCTGAGATGTGGGGAGCGCCTCTGCCCCGCCGCCCCGTCTGGGAGGTGAGGAGCATCTCTGCCCGGCCGCCCCGTCTGAGAAGTGAGGAGCCCCTCCGCCCGGAAGCCGCGCCCTCTGAGAAGTGAGGAGCGTCACCGCCCGGCAGCCACCCCGTCCAGGAAGGAGGTGGGGGTCACCCACCGCCAGGCCAGCCGCCCCGTCCAGGAGGGAGGTGGGGGGGTCAGCCCCCCGCCCGGCCAGCCGCCCCGTCCGGGAGGTGAGGGGCGCCTCTGCCCGGCCGCCCCTACTGGGAAGTGAGGAGCCCCTCTGCCCGGCCAGCCGCCCGGTCCGGGAGGGAGGTGGGGGGGTCAGCCCCCGTCCGGCCGGCCGCCCCGTCCGGGAGGGAGGTGGGGGGGTCAGCCCCCCCGCCCGGCCGGCCGCCCCGTCCGGGAGGGAGGTGGGGGGGTCAGCCCTCTACCCAGCCAGCCGCCCCGTCCGGGAGGGAGGTCGGGGGGGTCAGCCCCCTGCCCGGCCAGCCGCCCCTTCCGGGAGGTGAGGGGCGCCTCTGCCCGGCTGCCCCTACTGGGAAGTGAGGAGCCCCTCTGCCCGGCTAGCCGCCCGGTCCGGGAGGGAGGTGGGGGGGTCAGCCCCTCGCCCGGCCAGCCGCCCCGTCCGGGAGGTGGGGGGCGCCTCTGCCCGGCCGCCCCTACTGGGAGGTGAGGAGCCCCTCTGCCCGGCCACCTCCCCGTCTGGGAGGTGTGCCCGGCAGCTCATTGAGAACGGGCCATGATGACAATGGCGGTTTTGTGGAGTAGAAAGTGGGGAGAGGTGGGGAAAAGAGTGAGAAATCGGATGGTTGCCGTGTTTGTGTAGTAGGAGGTAGACATGGGAGACTTTTCATTTTGTTCTGTACTAAGAAAAATTCTTCTGCCTTGGGATCCTGTTGATCTGTGACCTTACCCCCAACCCTGTGCTCTCTGAAACATGTGCTGTGTCCACTCAGGGTTAAATGGATTAAGGGCGGTGCAAGATGTGCTTTGTTAAACAGATGCTTGAAGGCAGCATGCTCGTTAAGAGTCATCACCATTCCCTAATCTCAAGTACCCAGGGACACAAACACTGCGGAAGGCCGCAGGGTCCTCTGCCTAGGAAAACCAGAGACCTTTGTTCACTTGTTTATCTGCTGACCTTCCCTCCACTATTGTCCTGTGACCCTGCCAAATCCCCCTCTGTGAGAAACACCCAAGAATGATCAATAAAAAATAAATAAATTAAAAAAAAAAAAAAAAGGTTACACGCTAAAAAAAAAAAAAAAATTAGCCAGGTGTGGTGGTGTGCACTTGTAGTCCCAGCTATTGGGGGTGGGGCTGAGGTTAGAGGTTTTTTAGAGCCCAGGATGTGCAGTTTGCAGTGAGACCTGTCTCAAAACAACAATCAAAAACCATTTCCAAGAAATAAATGCAATAAATATTGTGATGTTCCCTCTCTGTGTGTGTATTCTTACCACCTACTTGTGTGCTTATTTATTGAAATAAAATTGCAGACATAAATTTTTCCCTGTTGGTTTTTTGTTTGTTTGTTTGTTTGCTTTCTGAGACAGAGTCTTGCTCTGTTGTCCAGGCTGGAGTGCAATGGCACGATCTCGGCTCACTGCAACCTCCGCCTCCCGGGCTCAAGCAATTCTCCTGCCTCATCCTCCCAAGTAGTTGGGATTACAGGTGCCCATCACCCTGCCTGGCTATTCTTTTGTGTTTTTAGTAGAGATGGGATTTCACCATGTTGGCCAGGCTGGTTTTGAACTCCTGACCTCAAAGATCCGCCTGCCTCAGCCTCCCAAAGTGCTGGGATTACAGGTGTGAGCCACTGCGCCTGGCCCCTATTGTTTAAATATAGTAATTTTATGAGAACTTACCTATTTTATTTTTGTATCTATTAAAAACATCATTTTTGGCTGGGCATGGTGGTTCACACCTGTAATCATAGCACTTTGGGAGGTAGAGATGGGTGGATCACTTGAGGCCAGGAGTTCGAGACTAGTCTGAGCAACATGATGAAACCCTGTTTATACAAAAAAATACGAAAATTAGCTGGGCATGGTGGCGTGCATCTGTAGTCCCAGCTACTTGGGAGGCTGAGGTGGAGAATCACCTAAGCCTGGGGAGGTGGAGGTTGCAGTGAGCTACAATTGCACCACTGCACTCCAGCCTGCGCAACAGAGTGAGACCCACTCTCCAAAAAAAAAAAAAAATTTTTTTCAAAGTAAAAAAAGTAATCTAATAGAGGAAAATGCTCCAGTCAGAGTGGCTTGGAATCTGTTTTAGTTCATAAAACTAGGGGCTGAGGTGAGAAAAAGAGGCTGAAACAAGCTGCTGCCCTCTGCTGCCTGGGACAGCAGCTTTTGTAACTCTCATACCCAGGAACCAGGCCAACATAGACATGGCCACAAAACCAGGATCTGTGCCAAACATACAGGGCCATGACTGAATTCACAAAAACCCTAGATAAGGATGGTGAGAGCAGTGAGAAAGAAGGTTATAGCAAAACAAAACAGAACGAAATTGCAAAACTTCCCACTCTAAGATGAACCTGCAAATAAATTTCCTCAACTTATTAAAATTAATTGTAGACAGGACAAATTCCCCAACACCAACACCAAAAAAAAAAAAAAAAAAAAAACCAACCAAAAAAACAAACAAAGTAAAATCCTCCATAATTAGGAGGGTAATTCACTATAGATAAATGCAAAGAAAAGAACAATCTTTAAAAGACCTTTTTCACAGATACTCTCAATCTAAGAAAAAAACAACAGAAATAAAAGGCTTCAACACAAGTATGCCTTGGATCCTCAAAGGGATAAAGGAAGAATAACAAATTGAATAAACGTAAAAAGAGATCTCGCGCATTGGCTCATGCCTATAATCCCAGCACTGTGGGAGGCCAAGACAGGAGGATCATTTGAGGCCAGGGGTTTGAGAACAGCCTGGGAGATATAGTGAGACCCTGTCTCTAAATAAATAAAGAAAGAAAGAACACATATTCTTTGATTCATCTCCCTCTGGGAAGTACAGCTCAATTTCTCTCTTATTCAGTATTGCCTGGACTCAGTGACTCACTTCTAATGCATAGAATTTGGAAAGGGAAAAATAGCAACTGCACAATGGAGATACCACCTTAACCAAGTGATCAAGTTAACCTAAATAATAATGTCAGACTGATATCTTATAACCCCTTATATGATGTGATGAGAAGGGCACTTTACCTCTGTAGCATTCTTCCCCAAAATCTATAACCCTAGCTTAACAGAAAACATCAGATAAAAACCTAAATTGAGGAACATTAGACAAAATAACCTGCCCAGTACTCTTTAAAAATGCCAAGGTCATGAGACAATGAAAGACTGAGTACAGTCACGGATTTGAGACTTGACAACTAGATTCAACATGGTGTCTTGGATTGGATTCTGAACAGAAAAAAAGAAAAAAGAAAAATTAAGGAAATCTGAATAAAGTTAATAGTATTATATCAAGTTTAGTTTCTTACTTTTGATAAATGTCTCAGTTATGCAAGACATTACGTAACTGTTAACATTAGGGAAAGCTGGGTGGAGGATAAACAAGAATTTGCTATGCTATCTCTGAAGCTCTTCTGTAAATCTAAAATTATTTCAAAATGAAAACTTTAAAAATTAAAAATAAATGAATCAATTAGAAATCCTGAAAATAATTTCCTAAATGAAAAAAGTAAGTTATTGGTAATAAACCCTCAATAAACTAGATATACATTATCTTAGATGGACATAGACAAACAGAGTGTTAGTGAATTAGAAGATGGTTCTAAGGAAGTGGCTTAGAGAACAGCATACAAATTGACCAGGCACAGTGTTTCACGCTTGTAATCCTAGCACTTTGAGAGGCCGAGGTGGGCGAATCACCTGAGGTCAGGAGTTCGAGATCAGCCTGGACAACATGGTGAAACCCCATCTCTACTAAAAAATACAAAAATTAGCCAGACACAGTGGCGCATGCCTGTAATCCCAGCTACTCAGGAGGCTAAGGCTGGAGAATAGCTTGAACTGGGGAGGCGGATGCTGCAATGAGCCGAGATTGCACCACCGCACTCCAGGCCAGGCAACCGAGCGAGACTCCATCTCAAAAAAACCGAAAAACAAAAATTAGCTTGGTGTGGTGGCAGGTGCCTGTAATCCTAGCTGCTCAGGAGGCTGAGGCAGGAGAATCACTTGAATCTGGGAGGTGGAGGTTGCAGTGACCCGAGATCACACCATTACGCTCCAGCCTGGGTGACAGAGGAGACTCCACCTCAAAGAAAAAAAAAAGAGAGAACAACATAAAAAGATAGAAATTGAGTATAATAAAAAGGCATGGAGGTTAGAAGTGGCATTATTGAAAATGGCAGAGTAGGGGATCCATTTCTCCCCAGAAACACTGAAAAACTTGGCAAAACCTGTTGGAATTCAACCTTATCAGAATGCTAGGAGACAGTTAAAAGTTTACAGCAACGGGCCGGGTGCTATGGCTTATGCCTGTAATCCCAGCACTTTGGGAGACTGAGGCGGGTGGATCACCTGAGACCAGGAGTTCAAGATCAGCCTGACCAATATGGTGAAACGCTGTCTCTACTTAAAATACAAAAATTAGCTGGGCGTGGTGGCGTGCGCCTGTAGTCCCAGCTACTTGGGAGGCTGGGGCAGGAGAATTGCTTGAACCTGGAAGGAGGGGATTGCAGTGAGCCAAGATTGTGCCACTGCACTCCAGCCTGAGCGACAGAGTGACACTCCATCTCAAAAAAAAAAAAAAAAAGAAAAAGAAAAGTTTACAGCAACCAAATGCTTAACCAAGAGAAAGGCCACTGAAGCAGCTAAGATTTTTGTGGTATTTTAGCTTACCTTAGCCCCATCCCCTCCTTAGAGAAGCAGTGATCTTAGAGCCAGCAGCTTGTGTTCCCTGTTCAGATACCTCGTTCTAGAGAGAGCAGAGTGGACCTTGTTCCTATGGAATAGGATTTGATTTTTTTTTTTTTTTTTTTTTTTTTTTTTTTGAGACTGAGTTTCGCTCTTTCACCCAGGCTGGAGTGCAATGGTGTGATCTCAGCTCATAGCAGCCTCTGCCTCCCGGGTTCATGCCATTCTCCTGCCTCAGCCTCCCAAGTAGCTGGAATTACAGGTGCCCGCCACCACGCCCAGATAATTTTTGTATTTTTAGTAGAGAGGGGGTTTCACCATGTTGGCCAGGCTGGTCTCAAACTCTTGACCTCAGGTGATCCACCCACCTTGGCCTTCCAAAGTACTAGGATTACAGGTGTGAGCCGCCGCGCCGGCCCAGGATTTGTCTTTTGAACCTAACTAGGGTTTCTCTTTGTTGTAACTAACTTGGAACTCTGCTAGGATAGAGCAGCTACACAGACTTTTCCTAAAAGCAATTAAGAACAAATGAATGAACTGCTATGGGCTGGGCAAAACAAACAATCAAAAAAACAGCTAGATCAAACAACAGACATGTTGAAAGCCTGAGAGGAAAATCCAGAGAATGATATTTTGGGGGAGAATAAGAGCTTTGAAAGTTTTCTATGTTTACAGGGGAATCTAGAAAGCCACACACATGCCAAGAGAAGGACACATGCTTAGAGAAAAACTGGGAAGACCATGAGTTTTCACCTCTGCCTGATTTTTAGACTCAGTGCAAGCAAGAAGTGGAGGTTTAGACAGAGTTGCAAACAGCATGGCTAAGCATAGAAGGAGTGATTCAACATAGAGCCAATCTGCAAAGACCTGGAAATTTTTCTTTTCTTTTGTACTGCTTTTTTCCTTCCCTTATTTCCTTTTCTCCAGGCATTTAAGGAAACATCTGGCAAACCACAGTAAAAAAAAAATATGGTTATGTAAGAGAAGGTTCTGGCTTTTTTTTTTTTTTTTTTTTGGAGGCTGAGTCTCGCTCTGTTGACCATGCTAGAGTGCAGTGGTGTGATCTCGGCTCAACCTCTGCCTCCCAAGCTCAAGCAATTCTTGTGCCTCAGCCTCCTGAATAGCTGGGACTACAGGCCCCCACCACCACGCCCAGCTAATTTTTTGTATTTTAGTAGAGACAGGGTTTCACCATGTTGCCCAGGGTGGTCTTGAACTCCTGAGTTCAGTCAATCCACCTGCCTCGGCCTACCAAAGTGCTAGGATTGCAGGCGTGAGCCACAGTGCCCGGTTGGTCCTTGCTTTTAAGAAACCAACACTGGGCCGGGCGCGGTGGCTCACGCCTGTAATCCCAGCACTTTGGGAGGCTGAGGCAGGCGGATTACGAGGTCAGGAGATCGAGACCATCCTGGCTAGCACGGTGAAACCCCATCTCTACTAAAAATACAAAAAAAAAAATTAGCCGGGCATGGTGGCAGGCGCCTGTAGTCCCAGATACTCGGGAGGCTGAGGCAGGAGAATGGCGTGAACCCGTGAGGCAGAGCTTGCAGTGAGCCAAGATCACACCACTGCACTCCAGCCTGGGTGACAGAGCAAGACTCTGTCTCAAAAAAAAAAAAAAAAAAAGAAACGAACACTGAAATACAGTACTTAGGAGTTTTCAACTTTCCAACATTCTAATATTTCCAATTTATTGTCAGAGAAGTGAAAAAGATTCATTCCTTTAGCAATCATTTCTTAGGCCCTACTGTGTGATACGTGTGGTGGGTGGGCAGAGATGTGACCTGGTCCTCCTCCCTGTCCTTAAGGAGCTCATAGACTAGTAGGGAACCCATCCAACTAAAGCACTTGATAGTCTAAGGACCATAAGGAGTATGAACAGAGCTGTGGGAGCTCAGCAGAGGAAGAAGATCAAGAATGGCTCCTTAAAAGAAGTCACATAGGCCTAATGCTGTGGCTCACATCTGTAATCCCAGCACTTTGGGAGGCCGAGGCGGATGGATCACCTGAGGTCAGGAGTTTTGAGGCCAGCTTGGCCAACATGGCAAAACTGCCTCTCTACTAAAAATACAAAAATTAGCTGGACATAGTGGTGGGCACCTATAATCCCAGCTACACGAGAGGCTGAGGCAGAAGAATGGCTTGAACCTGGGAGCTGGAGGTTGCAGTGAGCCGAGCTCGTGCCACTGCACTCCTGCCTGGGTGACAGAGTGAGAGACTCCATCTCAAAAAAAAAAAAAAAAAAAAAGAAGTCACATAAGCAAATAAGAGTGTAGAGGATTTTAAGAGAGAAATGGGTAGAACTAGCTTTGATTAGAAGGGTGAAGAAGGGCCAGGCATAATGGCAGGTGCCTGTAGTCGCAGCTATTTGGGAGGCTGAGGTCGGAGGATCACTTGAGCCAAGGAGGTCAAGGTTGTAGTGAGCTAGGATCTCGCCACTGCACTCCATCCTAGGCAACAGGCAAGTCTCTGTCTCAAGAAAAAAAAAAAGAAGAGTGAAGGAGAGTGGTTGCTAATTGTTCCCCAATATCCCCACCTTTTAGTTAGTAATGGATTCCCCCTGAATTTTTTTTTTTTTTAATTTTTTGAGATGGAGTCTCACTCTATTGCCCAGGCTGGAGTGCAATGGCGCGATCTTGGCTCACTGCAACCTCTACTTCCTGGGTTCAAGTGATTCTCCTGCCTCAGCCTCCTGAGTAGCTGGGATTACAGGCACCCACTACCACGCCCGGCTAATTTTTGTGTTTTTAGTTGAGACGGGGTTTCACCATGTTGGCCAGGCTGTATTCACACTCCTGACCTCAAGTGATCCACCCGTCTTGGTCTCCCAAAGTGCTGCAATTACAAGCGTGAGCCACTGCTCCTGGCCCTCCCCCTGAGTTTAGCTGAGTGCTTGCCAGCTGCAGCTCTCTCTTGCATCTAGGTATGACCATGAGACAATACTCTGGCCAAAGGGAAAGTGATGTTGGCAACTTTCAGATCATGCCTTAATAAGAAGCTGCTTGTCCTTTGCTTTCCCCTCTTTAAGATGTATGGGAGGTGAGTCAGCTCTGACCCTGTGACAAGTGTAACACCATGGAGGATGGCAAAGCAACGAGATGGAAGAAATGAGTCCCAGAGGGCCTGGGGTGACAGAGTCCCTGACTGGCCCTGTATAATCTGCCAGCTTAGACTTTTACCTGGGAGAAAAACAGAACTTTTTTTTTTTTTTTGAGACGGAGTTTCTGTCTTGTTGCCCAGGCTAGAGTGCAATGGTGCGATCTTGGCTCACTGCAACCTCCTCCTCCTGGGTTCAAGTGATTCTCCTGCCTCAGCCTTCTGTGTAGCTGGGATTACAGGCACCCGCCACCACACCTGGCTAATTTTTGTATTTTTAGTAGAGACAGGGTTTCACCATGTTGGCCAGGCTGGTCTCAAACTCCTGAGTTCAGGTGATCCACCCGCCTCGGCCTCCCAAAGTGCTGGGATTACAGGCATGAGCCACCGTGCCCAGCCGAGAAAAACAGAACTTCTACCTTGAAGAAGCCACTGATATTTTTGTCTCTGTCTGGTCAATATCCTAACTAATGAAAACAGGAAGAAAAAAAAGGCAATAAGAATATAAAACCTGTTGGCCAGGTGCGGGGGCTCATACCTGTAATTCCAGCACTTTGGGAAGCTGAGGCGGGCGGATCACAAGGTCAAGAGATCGAGACCATCCTGGCCAAAATGGTGAAACCCCATCTCTACTAAAAATACAAAAATTAGCTGGGCGTGGTGGTGCGCGCCTGTAGTCCCAGCTACTCAGGAGGTTGAGGCAGGAGAATTGCTTGAACCCTGGAGGCAGAGGTTGCAGTGAGCTGAGATCATGCCACTGCACTCCAGCCTGGCAACAGAGGGACTCTCCATCTCAAAAAAACTAAATAAATAAAATAAAAAATAAAACCTGCTTAGAAAACCAAACTCTCTCTCTCTCTTTTTTTTTTTTTTTTTTTTTTGAGGCAGGGTCTCCCTCTGTTGCCCAGGCTGGAGTGCAGTGGCACAATTATAGCTTACTGCAGCCTCGACCTCCTGGGCCTAAACAATCCTCCTACTTCAGCCTCCGGAATAGCTGGGACTACAGGCACATGCCACCACACCCAGCTAATTTTTTAATTTTGTAGAGACAGGGTCTCACTGTATATTGCCCAGGATGGTCTACAACTCCTGGCTTCAAGGGATCCTCCCGCCTGGACTTCCCAAAACACTAGGATTACAGGCGCAAGAGGCACGAACCAGCAGACCAGGACTTTTCTCTCTCGGTTTTCCTTCCCTTTCTTCTAACCCTTCTTTTCCTGTAGTCTACATAAAGGGACACACACACACACACAGATTTGCTCCTCAATATTACACTGGTTCCAGGTTTTTAGCACCAGATATATAGACAGATTTATATCTTCCTGTTTTTCCTGTCAATCCAGCCTCCTGTGAAACAGGCCCTAAGAATGAAAACCATTTCGTCCCTCAAAAGCTCTCTCCTGGCCGGGCGCGGTGGCTCACGCCTGTAATCCCAGCACTTTGGGAGGCTGAGGCAGGCAGATCACAAGGTCAGGAGATCGAGACCATCTTGGCTAACACGGTGAAACCCCGTCTCTACTAAAAACACAAAAAATTAGCCAGACGTGGTGGCGGGCGCCTGTAGTCCCACCTACTCGGGAGGCTGAGGCAGGAGAATGGCGTGAACCCGGGAGGCAGAGCTTGCCGTGAGCCAAGATCGTGCCACTGCACTCCAGCCTGGGCGACAGAGCGAGACTCTGTCTCAAAAAAAAAACAAAAAAAAACCCCAAAAAAAAGCTCTCTCCTAGGGCCAGGCGCGGTGGCTCATGCCTGTAATCCCAGCACTTTGGGAGGCCGAGGCCAGTGGATCACAAGGTCAGGAGTTCAAGACCAGCCTGGCAAATACGGTGAAACCCTGTCTCTACTAAAAATACAAAAAAATTAGCCACACGTGATGGCGCATGCCTCTAATCCCACCTACTTGGGAAGCTGAGGCAGGAGAATTGCTTGAACTCTGGAGGTGGAGGTTGCAGTGAGCCGAGATCACGCCACTGCACTCCAGCCTGGGCGACAGAGTGAGACTCCATCTCAAAAAAAAAACCAAACAAAAAAACTCTCTCCAGGGCACAGTGAGGCAGTTGACAGCTGGCCAGACAGTGGACAGACACATCTATTCACTCATAGTAGGCAGAAGGGTATTACTTTCTTTGTACAATCGTATTTGAAGGGAATAGAGGGGCTGTGTTGTCCTTGGGAAGCTTTGTATCTTTCCATAAAAGGATATTTTGAGGAAGTCTTAAATGTGGAGATCACAAATGCTTTATGCTCCCTTTTCCATCAAAATTTCTTCCTTGTTTACATTCCCTTACAGGGTGGAATGGATAACTATTGTTTTGGCCTTCCTGGTATCTGCGCACCCTTCTTTTGATAGAGAATCCTGATTATACTCTTAATTTCAGGCTATGTGGTTTGACTGGGGACGACCTGGCCATTACTCTAGGATTGGATATGTAATCTAGTTCTTTCCAAAGCTGGAACTATTAGGAACAAAGCTCCATAATGCTGGGGCTACTATACTAGAAGAATGTAAGGCTGGAGCTGCTGGTATCAGCTTGCCATTCGGTAGGGGAGCCTGTCTAAGAATGAAGTCAACACTGAGAAACATAGACCCAAGAGATAGAAGCCAATCCTGATAACACTGTCTGGGAAGCTCCTTCAGTTTGAGTAGAGCTTCTGTCATTGGAAACCAAATACGTTTTGACTAATCCACAGGGGATATAAAAACTATTTGTCAGCTCTCTAAATGACATTTTGGCAGATGATATGCCTACCCAGAATTTGATTAATGTAATTAAGTTTCATCTTATTCCAGAAAGTATTGATGGTCCCTTCTAGCAAGAAGGTCCCTCCTTTGTGTTTTATTTTGCTGTAAGAAAAAAAGGCAGGCCGGGCGTGGTGGCTCACACCTGTAATCCCAGCACTTTGGGAGGCCGAGGCGGGCAGATCACAAGGTCAGGAGATCAAGACCATCCTGGCTAACATGGTGAAATCCTGTCTCTACCAAAAATAAAAAAAAAATTTATCCAGGTGTGGTGGCGGGCGCCTGTAGTCCCAGCTACTCAGGAGGCTGAGGCAGGAGAATGGCGTGAACCCAGGAGGCGGAGCTTGCATTGAGCTGATATCGCACCACTGCACTCCAGGCTGGGCAACAGAGTGAGACTCCATCTCAAAAAAAAAAAAAAAAAAAAAAAAGAAAAGAAAAAAAGGCATCAATTGGGGTTTAAGTTTGTTGGCATTGACAGGGTTCCACTCTATAGCCCAGGCTAGAGGGCGGTGGCACATCACAGCTCACTGCAGCTTCTACCTCCTGGGCTCAAGGGATCGTCCTGCTTAGCCTCCCCAGTAGCTGTGACTACAGGTGCACACCACCATGCCCAGCTAAAATTTTTTTGTATTTTTTGTAGAAATGGGAGTCTTACTATGTTGCCAAGCTGGTCTTGAACTCCTCTGCTCAAGAAATTCTCCTGCCTGGGCCTCCCAAAGTGCTGAGATTACAGGTGTGAGCCACCGTGTCCATCCACATTTAGGGTCTCTGGCACATACTAACAGGGAGACTCTGAACAAATCTGGGGAATATATCTGAACCTTGGTTTCCTTATCTGTCAAATGGATATATGATCTAGGAAGACCTCTCTTCCTTTTCATGGCGTGTTTTTTTGTTTGTTTGTTTGTTTCCTTTTTTTTTTTTTTTTTTTTTTTGAGACAGAGTCTCACTCTGTCGCTCAGGCTAGAGTGCAGTGGCACAATCTTGGTTCACTGCAACCTCCACCTCCCAGGTTCAAGTGATTCTTGTGCCTCAACCGCCTGAGTAGCTGGAATTTTAGGTGCACACCACCATGCCCAGCTAATTTTTTTGTTTTTTTGTTTTTTTGTTTAGTAGAGATAAGGTTTCACCATGTTGGCCAGGCTGGTCTTGAACTCCTGACCTCAAGTGATCCTCCCACCTCGGCCTCCCAAAGTGCTGGGATTACAGGTGTGAGCCACCGTTCCTGGCCTGGTTCTGTTTTGAAACTTGGAGTGGAGTGGAGAAGATACTGCCATATTGTCCTCTAAAGATACTAATTTATGGCCGGGCATAGTGGCTCATGCCTGTAATCCCAGCATTTTGGGAGGCCAAGGCAGGCAGATCACTTGAGGTAAGGCGTTTGAGACCAGCCTGGATAACATGGTGAAGCCCCGTCCCGTCACTACTAAAAATACAAAAAAATTACCTGGGTGTGGTGATGGCTGTCTGTAATCCCAGCTACTCCAGAGGCTGAGGCAGGAGAATCGCTTGAACCCAGGAGGCGGAGATTGCAAGGAGCCGAGGTTGCGCCACTGTACTTCAGGCTGGGTGACAGATTGAGACAACGTCTCAAAAAAAAAAATTCTAATTTACATTTTTACATTTTCCTTGTAAATGAGAGTGCCCATTTCCCCACATCCTAGCCAATACCAAGTATTGTCAATTTTTTTTCCTTTTCCTTTTCTTTTTCCTTTCCTTTTCCTTCCTTCCTTTTTTAGCAGTCTAGCTGTACAGGGATTAAAATATGCCAGGGATTTAATTTCTCTAATTACTTGGAAGACCATCTGTGCCCTGCTTTGATGCAGGAGTCCCTGCTCTGCCCAGAGAACCATGTGGTGCTCTGCCAAAGCCCCTTTTCTCCAGGCTTTCCTACTCCTCATCCCCTACCAATTGGCTATGGGATCACTTTTGTCAGAGAGTAGGACTGGGAGATGGAGCTCTAGACAGAAATCCTCCCCACACAGCTGTGCCCCTGATACTCTGGGGACGGACAATCACAGAGGACCATTTGACATCAGCCACCAGTGGTCACCAGCCAATTTCCAAGAGCTGCATCTGGGCGGAAACCTACTGTGGCTGAAGGAGTAAAGTGCCCCCCATGCTCACCATGGAGACTTTTGCAGTTTTATCTCCCTTCAGCAGACCTGACTTGAGTTCAAGGCTGAGTCATCAGGGTGAGCATGGGAGTATTTTTCTTATGCTTAAATACAGGTTAATGACATTATAGCAGAATTCTAGTAAAGAGGGCATGTTTATCCAGTTAAAATTTATTCTTGGCTGGGTGCAGTGGATCACGCCTGTAATCCCAGCATTTTGGGAGGCTGAGGTGGGCGGATCACTTGAGGTCAGGAGTTTGAGACCAGCCTGGCCAACATGGTAAAACCTCAACTGTACTAAAAGAAATACAAAAATTAGCCGGGTGTGGTGGCACATGCCTGTAATCACAGCTACATGGGAGGCTGAGGCTGGAGAATCTCTTGAACCCAGGCGTCAGAGGTTGCAGTGAGCCAAGATCATGCCACTGCACTCCAGCCTGGGCAACACAGTGAGACTCAAAAACAACAACAACAACAGCAACAAAAATTATTCTCTATAATGAAAAGCCACAAGCAAAAATTGGTTTTTCAGTTTCCTATTTACTGTCTAGAATGAGACAGACTTATTACAGGCTGTTTGGGAAGAGGAGAAAGTTGATTTAAGTTATTGTATCCAATTATTTTTATTTTTATTTTTTTTTTTTGAGACGGAGTCTCGCTCTGTCGCCCAGGCTGGAGTGCGGTGGCGCGATATCGGCTCACTGTAACCTCCACATCCCGGGTTCACGCCATTCTCCTGCTTCAGCCTCCCAAGTAGCTGGGACTACAGGCGCCCAGCACCACGCTCAGCTAATTTTTGTATTTTTAGTGGAGACAGGGTTTCACTGTGTTAGCCGGGATGGTCTCAATCTCCTGACCTTGTGATCCACCCGCCTCAGCCTCCCAAAGTGTTGGGATTACAGGCGTGACCGTCCTGCATCCTTTTATTGTTAGCCATTGAGCAGCAATTTCCCTTCAATTTCATCTACCCCTCCTCAACTCTCTGAAGAATCTGAGAGACAAATAAAAGAGAGCTAAAGATGAGGGCCAGAGGAGAAAAAGAAAAAGGTTGCCTCAAAAAGTGGCTCGCTTTTCTTATCAATGTCTTTTTCTTGTCTATCATTATCGATTCCACCCAGCAATTTCTCTGCCTGATCTGCAGCCCACCTCCTTATCTGCAGACATCCAGAGTGCCCCTTCTTTGCCGGAGTAAGTCATGTACCTCAGTTGAGAGCTCCCGTTGGGACATAAAGTCCATGAATTCAGTGAGGCCTTGCTCTTCTCTGTGATCAGCACAGAACTCAGCTCTTGGCCTTGCCAGTAGCAGCAGCAGTCAGAGGTAAAGGGGCCTTGGGGGAGAAGTGATTCTGACTCCTTTATTATGTAGGTGAGGAGACTGAGACTACCCCTTCTCTCATCAAGAAGGGAAGGCATCTTTGGGCCTCAGTGGCAAAAAGGTCAGGAGAGTGGGTAGTGGGGTGCTGTTGTTTGGAGCACCCAGTTTTGGAGTCAGACCGACTTGGGTTGAAAGCCAGTGATCCTGAGTAATAACTTCCACTCTCTAAACGTGTTTCCTTCGTTGCAAATTGGGGTTAATAATGTTGTGTTCCTTACAGAACTATTAAGAGAATTCAATGCACAGAGACATATAAAATACTACGCTTGGAACAAAAGAAGTATTTTAAAAGTCGTTAATATTATGCATTTCATTTTTTTTCCTTTTTTTCCCCTTCTAATCAATGTCAGAAAAATTAAGGAAATAGGAAGTCACTTCCAAGGGAGCTCTGGCTGCTCTGCAAACCTGTTAGTTAGCTATGAGATCCAAGCTACTCAGGAGACCCAGAGCAAGTTGTTACTTCTTTCTACTGATTGGGAAACTGAAGAATAGAAGAAATGTAATTGTCTGCCTTGCCTAATGGCATGGTGTAAAATAATAAGAAATATGCAAATTGGTCTTTGACCATGGTTCCTGTCTGACACAGAGCTTCTAAGAACTGTATAATTTTCTGAGAGATTGGAGCTTCTGATACAGAGCTCCTAAGTCTCTTGTAATTTCAGTTGATAGAAGTACATTTTGTGCTGAAGCAACTCTGTGAGCTCCTGGATGGGGGCTAACCACCAGAAAGACCAAGTCATAATTTGAAGCTTGGAACTTTTACCCTTACCTCCCATTTTCTGGAGAGGAGAGAGGGCTGGAAATGGCATTAATAATCAGTCATGGCCAGGCACAGTGGCTCACGCCTGTAATCCCAACACTTTGGGAGGCCAAGGTGGGCAGATCACTTGAGGTCAGGAGTTCTAGACTAGCCTGGACAACATATCGCTACTAAACCCTGTCTCTACTAAAAATAGCAAAAAACAGAAAAATAAAATTAGCTGGGTGTGGTGGTGTGAGTCTGTAGTCCCAGTTACTCAGGAGGGTGAGGCAGGAGAATCACTTGAACCCGAGAGGTGGAGGTTGCAGTGAGCCAAGATTGCACCACTGCACTCCAGCTTGGGCAACAGAGCGAGACTCCGTCTCAAAAAAAAAAAAAAAAATTAGCCATGCGTGGTGGCAGGTGTCTGTAATCCCAGTTACTCAGGAGGCTGAGGCAGGAGAATCACTTGAACCCGGGAGGCGGAGGTTGCAGTGAGCCGAGATCGCGCCATTGCACTCCAGCTTGTGCTACAAGAGCAAGACTCCATCTCAAAAGAAAAAAAATCCCGGCCGGGTGTGGTGGCTCACTCCTGTAATCCCTGCACTGTGGGAGGCCGAGGCAGGCGGATCATGAGGTTAGGAGATTGAGACCATCCTGGCCAACATAGTGAATCCCATCCCTACTAAAAATACAAAAATTAGCTGAGCATGGTGTTGCATGCCTGCAGTCCCAGCTACTTGGGAGGCTGAGGCAGGAGAATTGCTTGAACCCGGGAGGCGGAGGTTGCAGTGAGCCGAGATCATGCCACTGCACTGCAGCCTGGGCGACAGAGCAAGACTACGTCTCAAAACAACAACAACAACAACAACAACAAAACCAAAGGTACAGTTTTTGGGTTGGGGAACACATCCATGTGCTGGGAGGATGGTACATACCAACTCCACAGGGACAGAAACACCCGTGCTCAGGACCTTTCAAGACCTTGTCCTATGTATCTCTTCATGTGTCTGTCCATCTGTACCCTTTGTAATATCCTTTGTAATAAACCGATAGATGTAATAAAATGTTTCCCTGAGTTCTGTGAGCCTCCCTAGCAAGTTAAGTAGGAGGGAGTCATGGGAACTCCCAATTTATAGCCAGAAGTTCTGGAGGCCCAAACTTGCAACTGGCATCTGAGGAGCAGGGCAGTCTGGTGGGACTGAGCCCTTAAGGTGTGGGATCTAATTCTAACTTCATGTAGATAGTGTCAGAATTGAACTGAATTATATGACACCCAGTTGGTGTCCACTGGAGAACTGCCTGGTGTACAGGAGAAAAAAACCCCACACATCTTGTTACAGAAGTGTTCTATGTTAAGAGTATAGTAGGAGAAAACAGTTCGTTTAGTTTATTTTTCCTACTACACACATGGTGTAACAGAAAAAGCATGGGTTTTGAAAGTAGGATTTTGAACTGAGTTCAAATGCTGGCTATGCTGCCAAGTTGCTTTGTGATCTTGGATAAGTTACAGAACCTCTCTGAGCCTTTCTCCGAGATGTTAATACCTACTACATAGGGTTATTATGAAGAGTAAATGAAATGATGTATGTGTATGCCAAACACATGTGAAGTTGTGAAATCTATTTTTTTTTTTTTTTTTGCCTATTCTAGAATCTAATTTTTCCTTTTTCTGGTAGCATAATTTGATTTTTTCTTTAGGGAAGTGCCTTTCCTCTTCTGCACACTCTAATGCTAAAACTGTCAGTCAAGATTCCCTACTTCTCCAGCCAAGTGGTCATATTACCCAAGTTAGGCTAGCCAGACCCTTGTTGCCTGTAATTCGAATCCTTTTGGGGGTGAAATGGAGATGGAAAATGGCTGGAGCTGATTCATCCCAGGTGTCATTCTGAAAAGACTATCTAATAGTTTTTGCCATCTAGATCTCTGTAGCTACCTGGTTCTTGTCTTTTACTTTTTAAAATTAATTTATTTTAGATACAGGGTTTCACTATGTTACCCAGCCTAGAGTGTAGTGGCTTTTCACAGGTATGATTATGGAACACTGCAGCCTTGAATTCCTTGTCTCAAGCAGTCCTTCCACCTCAGCCTCCCAAGTAGCTGAAACTACTGACTTGTGCCGCTGCACACAGCTTAAACCAATAATTTCATTTACTTTATTTTTTATTCTTTAAAAATTTTTTAACCAATAATTCTAAAAAATTAAATTTAACATTGTAATGATTTTAGAAAAGCGGTAATTGCTTTAGAAACAAGTCAACATTTCTTTTTAATTTTAGTCAGTTCAAGTCATGTTAGTCTATGGATTTTAGTCAATGATTTTTTTCCCTTTCAAGTTTTTTATGCTGAAGTGTTTTAAAATAACTGTAGACATTCTTAACTCTCGTAAATTACATAGTCAAAAAGATTTAATTCCTAATTTCTACTCAAATTTCTCCAACTGTACCAAAAATTACTTATACATGCATTCTGTCCAAACTAGGATCCAACCACAGATGACACTTCAAATCTTAGAATCCAGGTGCTATGTTCCTTAAGCCTCTTTTAATGTAAAAGAGGTTTTTTTAGACTTTTTTTTTTTTTTTTTTGAGACGGAGTCTCACTCTGTCACTAGGCTGGAGTGCAGTGGCGCGATCTTGGCTTACTGCAAGTGATTCTCCTGCTTCAGCCTCCCAAGTAGCTGGGACTACAGGTGCACGCCACCACACCCAGCTAATTTTTGTATTTTTAGTAGAGACGGGGTTTCACCATGTTGGCCAGGATGGTCTCGATCTCTTGACCTTGTGATCTGCCCGCCTTGGCCCCCCAAAGTGCTGGGATTACAAGTGTGAGCCACCGTGCCTGGCTTTTTTTTCTTTTTGAGATGGAGTCTCATTCTTTTGCCCAGGCTGGAGTGCAGTACCACAATATTAGCTCACTGCAAACTCAGCCTCCTGAGTTCAAGTGATTCTCCTGCCTCAGCCTCCTGAGTAGCTGGGATTACAAGCACGCACCACCACACCTGGCTAACATGGAGAAACCCCATCTCTACTAAAAATACAAAATTAGCTGGACGTGGTGGCACATGCCTGTAATCCCAGCTACTTGGGAGGCTGAGGCAGGAGAATCACTTGAACCCAGGAGGCAGAGGTTGCAGTGAGCCAAGATTGTGCCATTGCACTTCAGCCTGGGCAACAAGAGCAAAACTCCGTCTTAAAAAAAAAAAAAAAAGGACCACAAACAAAAAAATTCCCCCCCATTTTTAAAAGACTTAAATACACACTAACATAATCTCTAATACCTGATGTCTGCATTCCTAGGATGACCTTAGCCTAGCCCCACCTGCTGGCTTAAAGTGTCTGCCCAAGGAAGCTAAAAAAGCAGCACCTACAGATAGGTTCCTGACCACCATTTCTTAGAGCATTTACTTAAAAGGGCTTAGAATTGTGGATCCTTCCTCTGTGCCTTTGAAAGATATATGTATCTCCCATAATTTAGGAGTGTCTTTCTCAAGGACCTGAAAGCTATTCCATTGAAATGTAATCATTGGAAAGGATAGGGCCTCTGTCCCCTAGTCTCTCTGGGAGGATAGAATTCTAACTCGTTAATTGCCAATTAACAGACAAAGGTGGCCTAATTGGCATTTACACCAACCAACCCTTTGTAATTTTTCCTGACTCAGCGCCCTCTGTTCTATCCCACAACTCAGTCTTTGTCTTTATTTTTTAATTTATTATTATTATTATTTTTGAGACAGAGTCTTCCTGTGTCACCCAGGCTGGAGTGCAGTGGCGTGATCTTGGCTCACTGCAACCTCCGCCTCCCGGGTTCAAGTGATTTTCCTGCCTCAGCCTCCTGAGTAGCTGGGTGTACCACGCCAAGCTAATTTTTGTATTTTCAGTAGAGATGGGGTTTTGCCACGTTGGCCAGCTAGTCTTGAACTCCTGACCTCAAACGATCCACCCACCTCACCCTCCCAAAGTGCTGGGATTACAGGCATGAGCCACCGCGCCTGACCAATTTTTTTTTTTTTTTTTTGAGACGGAGTCTGGCACTGTCACCCAGGCTGGAGTGCAGTGGCGCAATCGCAGCTCACTGCAACCTCCACCTCGCGGGTTCAAGCAATTCTTCTGCCTCAGCCTCCTGAGTAGCTGGGATTACAGGTGCCTACCACCATGCCCAGGTAAATTTTTGTATTTTTAGTAGAGATGGGGTTTCACTATGTTGGCCAGGCGGGTCTTGATCTGCTGACCTTGTGATCCACCTGCCTCGGTCTCCCAAAGTGCTGGGATTACAGGCGTGAGCCACCATGCCCGGCAAACCGATTATTTTTATTTATTTATTTTTTTGAGACGGAGTTTCACTCTTGTTGCCCACGCTGGAGTGCAATGGCACGATCTCGGCTCACTGCAACCTCTGCCTCCCAGGTTCAGGCGATTCTCCTGCCTTAGTCTCCTGAGTAGCTGGGATTACAGGCACCCGCCACCATGCCTGGCTAAATTTTTGTATTTTTAGTAGAGATGGGGTTTCACCATGTTGGCCATGGTGGTCTCGAACTCCTGACCTCAGGTGATCCACCTGCCTTGGCCTCCCAAAATGCTGGGATTACAGGTGTGTGCCACCCCACCTGGCCTAAATGTTTTTTTTAAGCCCACAACTAACATCATATGTCTTTCTCTCTTTATAAGGCCTAGTTACCTCTAAAAATGGAAGCTGAGTTTAGTTCATACTGCACCCTCTTCCCTATTGCAAAGGAATATTACTGATGAATAGGTGTCCTTACCACTGTAACTAGTTTATTTGTTTATCTTTGACAAGCATGTTGACCAGCGTTATGGAATTTCACTCTATTTACATGTGGCTTAGTGTTCGGCATCAGACTCAGTGGGACCACAATACATTTCTGATCCTCTTTTTCATATAGCTCTTCTCTGGCAAAATTGCCCCCAAAATCCCAGCTGCCTTAGTTTCCTCAAACTTGATCTCTGCTTCCTCACCCCATGAACACTGCTATGTTCTGCTTGGATTTCCTCACCCTGAGCAGAAGCCTAGAAACTGTCTACAGGCAGAAAGCCAAAGTGTTTTTAGGCTCATCTTACTTGCTTTTTTCTTCTCTCAGGGAACAGAGTCCTGTACTCCTTGTCCAGTGTCTGAGAATAGGTATTTCATATAAATTTGTCTACTTTTCTCATTCTTTATCACCAGAGGGCAAGTCCAGTACCAACTATTAGAGGAACTTAGGATTTCATTTTTGAAAAACTTTTAATAATTAATTTAATTGGGTTGGAGTAAAGAAAGGGGGAAAAAATGAAGGTGGACACCATAAGACTTAAAAGGTAAATGGCAAGGAGAGATCTTTTTAAATACATTTAACAGAAGGATAATGTATGGAATATGCCAGCTCCTTCAAATATATAAGAAAAAAGGAAACAACCCAGTGGTAAAATGGGCAGAGGATAATAACAAGCAATTCACAAATGGTCAATAAACACAAGAAATATACAGCATAAGGAAATACAAATTAAAATCCAATGAAAAACCATTCATTGGCTTGGTAGGATGGCTCACGCTTGTAACCCTGTGCTTTGGGAGGTCAAGGTGGGAGGATCACTTGAATTCAGGAGTTTGAGGCCAGCCTGGGCAACATAGCAAGATCCCTGTCTCTACAAAAAACTAAAAAATTAGCTGGGCATGGTGGTGCATGCCTGTAGTCACAGCTACTCTGGAGGCTGAGGCAGAAGGATCACTTAAGTCCCAGAATTTGAGGCTGCAGAAAGTTATGATTGGGCCAGTACACACCAGCCTCAGCGACAGAGCAAGACTCTGTCTCTCTCTCTCTTTTTTTTTTTTTAGCAAAATCAAAAAAATTTTAAATGTCGGCAAGAATACAGCAAAACAGCTACCTTCATACACTTTGGTTCCAGTGTAAAGAAATCTGTTTGACACGCAATTTGGAGAAATGGGGAAGCTGTGGTGAATGGGAATTCATGGCCCTGGACCTACAAAAAGCCTGCATTCCTGCCAGTATGGCTACTTTGTTCATGTGCGCACTGTGCCTGCTCTGGGGGGGTTAATGACACAGGCTATCATCAACTAGCTGAGTCATTTTGTTTACTTGGCTGTTCAGTGCCTCTTATGTGGTGCATTCTCTCTGGTATGCCTTAACATGTTGTTACGAACTGAATTGTGCCCCGCCCCTCCAAGTTCTTATGTTGAAGTCCTAACCACCCCACTTACCTCAGAATGTGACTGTATTTGGAGAAAGGGCCTTTAAGTAGGTGATTAAAGATCCTAATGCAATCTGACTGGAGGCCTTATAAGGAAGAAATCTGGACACACAGAGATACCAGAGACGTGAGTGCACAGAGAAAAGGCATAGAGTTGAGGATACAGTGAGAAGGCGAAAGCTAAGGAGAGAGGCCTGAGAAGAAACCAAACCTCCTGACACCTTGACCTTGGACTTCTGGCCTCCAGAACTGTGAGAAAATAGATTTACATTGTTTAATCCATCCAGTCTATAGTATTTTGTTATGGCAACCCTAGCAAACAAATACACATGTGATACAAAGATCTTCATACTCATGCCCCTTCCTATATGTTCACTTGGAATTCTTTGTCCTTAGATCTCCTTATTCCCAATGTTTCCAGTCTTTCTCATTCAAGGCCTCTAACCAACCAACCAGTCACTCACCACTATCCATGATTCTGAATATATCCTAACCTCAGGCTACTTTTATTCACCAAAATTAGATGGTGCATTTGCCAAAGCTTCCCAGTTAGGAGGATTGCTTCTTAACACCTTGTCTTTCAGGGTCCTCACTATGTCCTATTTTCTGCTTGCGTTTTCTCACCCACCGAGCCAACCTCCTCTGTTAGCTGGCCACAAGAGCATATATGGCAATAGATATAAGCTAAGAGGTGCTAAGGTAAGAGCAGTAGATGACTGGGGGCTCGTGCCACCTGCAGCTTATACACTTTAGCTGTATTTGTGTCTGCTCCTGAATGTACCACTTCTGCATTGCGACAGATTGCTGCTGGCCCATCCACCTTATGATGTGGTGAGTCTGAGAAACAAAACTTTTTTTTTTTTTTGAGACAGAATCTCACTCTGTTGCCCAGGCTGGAGTGCAATGGTGCAATCTTGGCTCACTGCAACCTTCACCTCCCAGGTTCAAGCGATTCTCGTGCCTCAGCCTCCCAAGTACCTGGAATTACAGGCATGTGCCACCACGCCCGGCTAATTTTTTGTATTTTTAATAGAGATGGGGTTTCACCATGTTGGCCAGGCTGGTCTTGAACTCCTAGTCTTAAGCAATCCACCCGCCTGGGTCTCCCAAAGTGCTGGGATTACAGGTTTGAGCCACCACACCGGCCTGAGAAACAGAATTTATGAAGGATTGTATTGTCCATGTGGTTGATGTCCTACAGTCAGGCACTTCATCTTTGCCATGGTCAGATGCTGATTATTTTATTTTTTGAGACAGAGCCTCACTCTGTCACCCAGGCTGGAGTGCAGGGGAGCAATCTCAGCTCACTGCAACCTCCACCTCCCAGGTTCAAGCAATTCTCATGCCTCAGCCTCCTGAGTAGCTGGAATTACATGTACACGCCACCACGCCTGGCTAATTTTTGTATTTGTAGTAGAGATGGGGTTTCACCATGTTGGTCAGGCTGGTCTTGAACTCCTGATCTCAAATGATCCACCTGCCCTGCCTCAACCTCCCAAAGTGTTAGGATTACAGACGTGAGCCACCTCGCCCAGCCTCATTTTTTAAAAAATTTGTAATTATCTGCTGCAGATATCATAGCCTTACTGTGGAACCCTAGGGGTCTAGGTTGTGATTCTCTTATCGGAGCTTGTCAGAAACTCCACATGATGCCTTTTGCCACTGTCTTAGTGTGTTTGTTCTGCTTTAATAAAATACCTGAGATTGGGTAATTTATAAAGAACAGAAATTTATTTCCCACAGTTCTGGAAGCTGGGAGGTCCAAGATCATGGAGCCAGCGTGTCTGGTGTCTGGTGAGGGTTGCTGTCTGATTCCAAGATGATGCCTCTTGCTATGTCCTCACATGGTGAAAGGAGGAAGGGCAAAAAGGACTGAACACTGTGAAGCTTCTTTTATAAGGGTCTTAATCCCATTTATGAGGGAGGAGACCTCATGACTTAATTATCTCCTAAAGGCCCCACTCCCTGGAGATTAAGTTTCAATGTAAATTTTGTAGGGACACAAACATTCAGACTATAGCAGCCACCACCATAGGTTCTGCTGGGTTCTATGGTTCAAACAGTAGGACCATTTGCATCCCAGCCTGGAGCTGCTGCTGAGCACGTCACTTATCCTGGACCCACTCGAAGCTGGCAGCCTTTTGTGTCACCCAGTATATGGATTAGAGTGATATTCCCAAGTAAGGACTAATACTCTGCCTCCAGAACAAAGACACCTTAGTTGAGAGTGTGGGGAATGAGAGATGCAATATTGTAATTTGTCTTTTACTTTGAAGGGAATGTCCCAGCATTTCCCAAACTACTAGACTACCCAAAACTTAACTGTTAGCCGGGCGCGGTGGCTCACACCTGTAATCCCAGCACTTTGGGAGGCCGAGGCGGGTGGATCACCTGAGGTCAGGAGTTCAAGACCAGCCTGGCCAACATGATGAAACCCTGTCTCTACTAAAAACACAAAAATTAGCCAGGCATGGTGCACTCCTGTAATCCCAGCTACTTGGGAAGCTGAGGCAGGAGAATCGCTTGAACCCGGGAGGCAGAGGTTGCAGTGAGCCGAGATGGCCCCACTCCACTCCAGCCTGGGCGACAGAGTGAGACTCTGTCTCGAAAAAACCAAAACAGACAAAAAAAAAAAAAACTTAACTGTTGTGGTGGACCTTTGAGCCTTCATAAAGTTGATCTCCCACATTTGAAAGCACATATATCTTTAAAAGACTTCCAATGAATTTGCCATTTTTTACACATCCAGTCTGATTACTTTTCTGTCCTCCATACCGGCAACAATGTGATGTTCTGTGGTGTATCCAGATGATTAAAGTCCCTTCAGAATATATATATATTCTCTAGGCCAGGCACAGTGGCTCATGCCTGTAATCCCAGCATTTGGGGAGGCCGAGGTGGGAAGGAATCGCTTGAGTCCAGGAGTTCAAGACCAGCCTAGGCAAGAGAGCGAGACCCCATCACTATTTTTTTTTTTTTTAAATAGAGGCCGAGGCAGGGCAGGTGAGATCAGGAGTTCAAGACCAGCCAGACCAACATGGTGAAACCCTATCTATCTATCTATCTATCTATCTATCTATCTATCTATCTATCTACCAATTTTGAGACAGGGTCTTGCTCTGTTAACCAGGCTAGAGTACAGTGGCATGATCATAGCTCACAGCAACCTTGACTTCCTGGGCTCAGGTGATTCTCCTACCTCAGCCTCCCTAGTAGCTAGCTATGGACTCCCAAGTAGCCTCCAAGTAGCTGGGCCCATACCACCATGCCTGGCTAATTTTTAATTTTTTTTTTTTTTTGTAGTGACAGGGTTTTGCCATGTTGTCCAGGCTGGCCTTGAATTCCTGGGCTCAAGTGATCCTCCTGCCTCGGCCTCCCAAATTGCTGAGATTACAAGCATGAGCCACACACAGCCTCAGAATATATTATAATAGTGGGCATGAAATTAACATAGCTCTGGGCCAAGACTATATATGTATGCTACTGTCCATTCCAAGTGACAGTTAACTGTTTCTGATCCTCCTTTAGAGATGGAAAAGAATGCCTTTACCAGATTAATGGTCACATATCACACATACCATGTATTTGAGGTAACGTTAATCTGCTTTAGCAAAGATACTAAATCTGGCACCTGCAATTGCAGCTACTACTTTTTTGAGTGTGTCATAGTCTACTGGACATCCTCCAGAATCTATCTAGGATTCTGTTGAACCAAAAGAAATTATGATAGGGACTATTACCTCTGCATCTTTTTTTTTTTTTTTTTTTTTTTTTTTGAGATGGAGTCTCGCTCTGTTGCCCAGGCTGGAGTGCTGTGGCGCCAACTCGGCTCACTGCAAGCTCCGCCTCCCAGGTTCACACCATTCTCCTGCCTCAGCCTCCAGAGTAGCTGGGACTATAGGCGCCCGCCACCACGCATAGCTAATTTTTTTTTTTCGTATTTTTATTAGAGACGGGGTTTCACCGTGTTAGCCAGGATGGTCTCAATCTCCTGACCTTGTGATCCGCCTGCCTTGGCCTTACCTCTGCATCTCTTAAATCATTAAGAGTACCATTGATCTCTTTCACTACCCATAAGATGCAATCTTGTTTTTGATTGCTATCTTGCTGGGGTAGGGAGAAGTTTCAGAGGCTTCTATTTGGTCTTTCTCATGACGTTAGCACTTACCTCACAGGTCATAGGGCCAATGTGTTAGTTCTTTTAACAGCCAAGTATGTTGATTTTATTCATGTATTTGGCAACCAGGGACATAACCACTGGGTGTGTCTGTGTGCACAGTAGATTCCCTGTGAACTGAACCTGGGCCAGGACTCATTTATTTATTTATTTATTTATTTATTTATTTATTTATTTATTTATGAGACGGAGTCTCATTCTGTCGCCAGGCTGGAGTGCAGTGGCATGATCTCGGCTCATTGCAACCTCCGCCTCCCGGGTTCAAGCAATTCTCCTGCCTCAGCCTCCCAAGTAGCTGGGACTATAGACACGCACCACCACGTCTAGCTAATTTTTGTATTTTTAGTAGGCACTGGGCTTCACTGTGTTGGCCAGGATGGTCTCAATCTCCTGACCTCAGGTGATCCATCTGTCTCGGCCTCCCAGAGTGCTGGGATTACAGGTGTGAGCCACTGCTCCTGGCCAGGAGTCCATTTATTACAGGGTCTCCATATGCCCCAACTCTAAAGGGGGGATCCTGAGGATGCTTTGAGTCCCATACTGGTATCAATTTCATTTCAGACCTTGTGTCCAACAGTCCTTGTATTGCTTGGGTAATATTGCTCTTTCCACTGCGTTTGGGGGCCCAAACAAATACTAGTGGACCTTTTTGAGGAAGGACTGGAGGAATCATTGCCAAATACATTTATTAGAGTGTCACGGGGTCCTCCTTCTGGAGACCTGGCAGCTGCTTCAGTCACTGGGTTGCAGGTCTGAAGACTGGTTGTGATCCAGAAGCTGAGCAATGAATCATGACTCAGCTTCTTGATCATCTAGCCTGGGTTCCTTTTAATTGTCTAGGTTGAGTAATATCCTTGTTGGCCATCTCACCTTTAAGAACATCATGAACTATTAGCCATCTCCATCGCTCTCTGCAGGTCAGGACCCTCTGGCTGCTGTTCCAACTTCATAGATCATTGTAATTGCAACTATTTGCTTCTGATGGTTACATGCTGCTCTCTGGCCTCTATTATTTTAAGATACTATTATTCCCATTGCTATCAAGGTGCCCTGTTCTGAAACCACAAGGGCAGCTACCACTGAGCTTCTCAGTAATACCAATATCACTTTTCTTTTTTTGAGACAGGGGCTCACTCTGTCACCCAGGCTGGAGTGCAGTAGCATGATCTCGGCTTGCTGCAACCTCTGTCCACCCCTAGGCACAATTGATCCTCCCATCTTAGCTTCCTGAGTAGTTGAGACCACAAGCATGTACCACCATGCCTGGCTATTTTTTCTGTATTTTTAGTAGAGATGGGGTCTCACTGTATTGCTTAGGCTGGTCTTGAACTCCTGAGCTTAAGTGATCCACCCACCTTGGCCTCCCAAAGGGCTGAGATTACAGGTGTGAGCCACCGTGCCCAGCCCCTCCAATGTCACTTTCATCAGAGAATTCCTTGGAGCTCTTCTGTGGAAAAGTCATTTGGTAAGTTTCCTGGTTTTACACGGTATATCCATTCTAACTTTCCTCTTCTTTTAGTCTTTTGATCCCTACTTGCACCATCTCCTATAGCAGTTCTGATATTTCTTTTTTTTTTTTTTTTTCTGAGATGGAATTTTGCTGTTTTTGCCCAGGCTGGAGTGCAATGGTGCAATCTCGGCTCACTGCAACCTCCACCTCCCAGGTTCAAGCGATTCTCCTGCCTTAGCCTCCTGAGTAGCTGGGATTACAAGTGCCTGCCACCACGCCTGGCTAATTTTTGTATTTTTAGTAGAGATGGGGTTTCACCTTGTTGGCCAGGCTTGAACTCCTGACCTCAGGTGGTCCACCCGCCTCAGCCTCCGAAAGTGCTAGGATTATAGGCATGAGCCACTGTACCCGGCCTCTTTTTTTTTTTTTTTTTTTTTTTGAGACAGAGTCTCACTCTGTCACCCAGGCTGCAGTGCAGTGGTGTGATCTCGGCTTACTGCAACCTCACCCTCCTGGGTTCAAGCAATTCTCCTGCCTCAGCCTCCCAAGTAGCTGGGATTACAGGTGCAAGCCACTACTCCCCATTAATTTTTTGTTTGTTTGTTGTTGTTTGTTCGCTTGAGACAGAGTCTCACTCTTGTTGCCCAGGCTGGAGTGCAATGGCGTGATCTCGTCTCACAGCAAGCTCTGCCTCCTGGGTTGAGGTGATTCTCCTGCCTCAGCCTCCCCAGTAGCTGGGATTACAGGTATGCGCCACCTTGCCCAGATAATTTTTTTTGTATTTTTAGTAGAGACGAGGTTTCCCCATGTTGGCCAGGCTGGTCCCAAATTCCTGACCTCAGGTGATCCACCTACCTCAGCCTCCCAAAGCGCTGGGATAAGAGGCATAAGCCACCACGCTCGGTCTAATTTTTGTATTTTTATTTGTTTGTTTTTTTTTTTTTTTTTTTGAGACAGAGTTTCGCTCTGTCGCCTAGGCAGACAGAGTGCAGTGGCGCGATCTTGGCTCATTGCAAGCTCTGCTTCCCGGGTCCACGCCATTCTCCTGCCTCAGCCTCCCGAGTAGCTGGGACTACAGGCACCTGCCACGGCGCCCGGCTAATTTTCTGTATTTTTAGTAGAGGTGAGGTTTCACCGTGTCAGCCAGGATAGTCTCAATCTCCTGACCTCTTGATCCACCCACCTCGGCCTCCCAAAGTGCTGGGATTACAGGCGTGAGCCACCGCGCCCAGCCTAATTTTTGTATTTTTAGTAGAGATGGGGTTTCACCATGTTGGCCAGGCTGGTCTCAAACTCCTCAAGTGATCCACCCACCTTAGCTTCCCAAAGAGCTGGTATTAGAGGTATGAGCTGCCCGGTCTGATATTTCTATTTATTTATTACAGCCCATCACTTTCTCTAAGCTCATAAGACCCATCCTAAGAATATGTTAGCACTATTTCTCAGGGTCCTTGTCAGGGTGTTAAATCCTGTGTTCCAAGTTGATAACCTCTCCCTATTTTGGTTGAGAATTGGAATCCTCAGAATCCAGTCCCATGAATATTCTCCTGCCATTTGTCAGTACATATTGGTTATGTTCTACAGCTCCTTTAGCTATAGTCTCTTTCCTCCTTCGGCATGTCCTGGTCATTCATGTTGTTATTTAATTTTAGTTATTGGTCCAATGATTAGGTTGGGACTTTAAAGTAGATCCAGATGGCAAGGCACCTATCTTTTTTTTTTTTTTTTTTTTTTTGAGACAGGATCTTGCTCTGTCACCCAGGCTGGAGTGCAGTGGCGCAATTTCGGCTCACTACAGCCTCGACCTCCCATGTTCAAGTGATTATCCGGCTTCTGCCTCCTGAGTAGCTGGGATTACAGGTGCACACCACCATGCCCAGGTAAACAGGCACCTGTCTTGTAAGGCAGGTATTTTTACATTGTCTTCAAGCAAGGAGGAATGCTAAGCTTTAACAAAGAGGAATGGGCAATGTGTTGGGTCCTTCTTGCGCTGCTCTAAAGAAATACCTGGCAGGGAGGAGGGAGAGCATCACGAAGAATAGCTAATGGATGCTGGGCTTAATACCTAGGTGATAGGATGATCTGTGCAGCAAACCACCACAGCACACGTTTATCTATGTAACAAACCTGCATATCCAGCGCATGTACCCCTGAACTTAAAAAAAAAAAAGAAATACCTGACACTGAATAATTTACAAGAAAAGATGTTTAGGCCGGGCATGGTGGCTCATGCCTGTAATCCCAGCACTTTGGGCGGCCGAGGTGGGTGGATCACGAGGTCAGGAGATCGAGACCATCCTGGCTAACATGGTGAAACCCCGCCTCTACTAAAAATACAAAAAATTAGCCGGGCCTGGTGGCGGGAGCCTGTAGTCCCAGCTACTTGGGAGGCTGAGGCAGGAGAATGGTGTGAACCCAGGAGGTGGAGCTTGCAGTGAATCGAGATTGCACCACTGCACTCCAGCCTGGGTGACAGAGCGAGACTCCATCTCAAAAAAAAAAAAAAAAAAAGATGTTTAATGGCTCATGGTTATGCAGGCTGTACAGGAAGCATAGCAGCATCTGTTCTGGGGAGGCCTCAGGAAGCTTCCAATCATGGCATAAGGCAAAGGGGGAGCAGGGACATCACATGGCTAGAATGGAAACAAGAGAAAGAGAAAGTGGCGGCGAGGTGCACACACTTTTAAATGACCAGCTCTCATGAGAACTCACTATCACGAAGACTGCACCCACCAAGCCATGAGGGATCCACCCTCATGATACAAACACCTCCCAGCAGGCCCCTCCTCCAGCATTGGGGATTACAATTCAACATGAGATTTGGGTGGGGACAAATATCTAAACTACATCCGGCCACTTGCGAAGGCCCAGAGGTACAGGAAAGACTGGAAGTTAATGATTGTTCAAGTATGTCGACCCAGATATTGCCATCCCATGTCTCCCATCTTCTTCTTTCTTTCTTTTGAGACAGGGTCCCACTCTGTCACCCATGCTGGAGTGCAGTGGAGTGATTGAGGCTCACTGCAGCCTTGACCTCCTGGGCTGAATCAGTCCTCCCACCTTAGTCTCCCAGGTAGCTGGAACCACACGTGCATGCCACCATGCCCTGGTAATTTTTTGTAAAGACAGGGTTTCACCATGTTGCTCAGGCTAGTCTTGAACTCTTGGGCTCAAGTGATTCTCCAGCTTTGGCCTCCCAAAGTGCTAGGATTACAGGCATGAGCCACCATGCCTGGCCTCCCATTTTTGCTCTTTCTCAGTCAGGACTCTAACCTTGGTAGCTAACCTTTCAGGGCTGAGAATTCAACCTCTCTAGAGCTCTGCAAATTTTATAATTATGTTTTAGGTCTGATCCTCAGGTTTTTCTGCCCTTTGGCTGTAGGAGATGATAGTATCTTTATATACTGCCAAGAAGGCCCTTCGACTTTCACACTTAATCTTCATTGTCTTTCTTCAAAGGATCTATTATCCCCAACAACAAACATCCTATTACTTCTCAAATGCCTAATACATGTGTTCCTCCACCCTCCCATGTATTCTTTCCTTGGGTAAAACATCTCCATTAACCACTGCTGAAATTTTTAACAACTGTATTACTATCACATGCTAGGGGCTAACAGTGTTTCACCTATCACTAGTGATGATATCCTCATTGTCAACCGACTGCTGAGTGACTCCCAAATTTCATTTTAGGGTTTACTTTCTTGGATCACTCCTGGTACCAATTATTGTAAATTGGGTTCCCCAGGAAGCAGAGAAGCAGAGATTTGAATCCAGAAAGTTTACTGAAGAGTGCTTTTAGGATCACCATCCTTGGGAGAGTGAAAGAAGCAAGGTTAGGTTGCAGGGCATTCACAAAAAAGTCTCAGTCAATTCCATGCAGAGCACTGGACCTAAGATAGCCCTGTAAAACTTTCCCTCACTGGGGCCAGGGTAACGGGGTCTTTATAACCCTGTACTAATCAGTCTTTGAATGTGGGTTACCATGGGCATGACTTTAAATGAGGCAGCTCTTCTCAGCCAAGGTTGTGTGGGGTGCTTTTTTTTTTTTTTTTTTTTGAGATGGAGTCTTGCTCTTTTGCCCAGGCCGGAGTGCAGTGGCGCGATCTCGGCTCACTGCAAGCTCTGCCTCCCGGGTTCAGCCATTCTCCTGCCTCAGCCTCCTGAGTAGCTGGGACTACAGGCGCCCGCCACTGCGCCCGGCTAATTTTTTGTAGTTTTAGTAGAGACGGGGTTTCACTGTGTTAGCCACGATGGTCTCGATCTCCTGACCTCGTGATCCACCTGCCTTGGCCTCCCAAAGTGCTGGGATTACAGGTGTGAGTCACTGTGCCGGGCCTTTTTTTTTTTTTTTTTTTTTTTTGAGACAGAGTTTCACTCTTGTTGCCCAGGCTGGAGTGCAATGGCGCAATCTTGCCTCACTGCAACCTCTGCCTTGCGGGTTCAAGCGATTCTCCTACCTCAGGCTCCCGAGTAGCTGGGATTACAGGCGCCCACCACCACGCCTGGCTAATTTTTCTGTATATTTTGTGGAGACGGGGTTTCACCATGTTGGCCATGCTGCTCTCCAGCTCCTGACCTCAGGTGATTCGCCCGCCTCAGCCTCCCAAAGTGCTGGGATTACAGGCATGAGCCACCGCGCCTGGCCTAATTTTGTATTTTTTTGTAGAGATGGGGTTTCTCCATTTTGGTCAGGCTGGTCTCAAACTCCCGACCTCAGGTGATCTGCCTGCCTCGGCCTCCCAAAGTGCTGGGATTACAGGTGCGAGCTACCGCGCACGGCAGGGTTGTGTGGGGTGCTTAACTGCCAGCTGACAGCCCTTAACATTCCCAGCAGCTGGGAGAGTAAGGGTTTCAGCAGTTCAGAAGAGGAGAGATCTGAGGAGCACACCACACACACCACAACATCCCTAAAATACACTTTCTTTTTTTTTCTCTTCCTTTTTTTTTTTGAGACAGAGTGTCACTCTGTTGCCCAGGTTAAAGTGCAGTAGTGTGATCCCAGCTCACTGCAGCCTCGACCTCCTGGGCTCAACCGATTCTCCCACCTCAGCTTCCCGAGTAGCTGGGACTACAGGTATGTGTAACCATGCCCGGCTAATTTTTTGTATTTTTGTAGAGTCGGGAATCTTACTATATTGCTCAGGCTGGTCTCGAACTCCTGTGTCAAGTAATCTGCCTGCCTTGGCTTCCCAAGGTGCTGGGATTACAGGTGTGAGCCACTGCACCTGGATCTAAAATACACTTTCTAGTGTCTGAATCATTTACAATGGGAAAGAATTCATGTGTTTTGTGTAAAAAAATGTTTTTAAGAAAACTCAAGTAAGGCAACATAATGAGACTTCATCTTCACAATTTTTTTTGTTTGTTTCGCTCTTGTTGCCCAGGCTGGAGTGCAATGGCGTGATCTCGGCTCACTGCAACCTCTGCCTCCTGGGTTCAGGCGATTCTCCTGCCTCGGCCTCCCCAGTAGCTGGGATTACAGGCATGTGCCACCACGCCCAGCTAATTTTGTATTTTTAGTAGAGATAGGGTTTCTCCACGTTGGTCAGGCTGGTCTCGAACTCCTGACATCAGGTGATCCACCCTACTCGGCCTTCCAAAGTGCTGGGATTACAGGCGTGAGCCACTGCGCCTGGCCAGAATTATTATTATCATTATTTTTTAATTAGCTGGATGTGGCAGCACATGTCTGTAGTTCCAGCTATTTGGGATGCTAAGGCAGGAGAATTGCTTAAGGGCAGGAGGTTAAGGCTGCAGTGAGCTGTGATCATGCCACTGCACTCCAGCCTGGGTGACAGAACACGACCCTATCTCAAAAAATAAATACAAATAAAAAGAGAAATCTAGAATGGTAACTCCAAACCTTGGATTCACACAGCAGCAAATCACACTTTGCTGACCTGGCACAGGATTCACTTGTCCATGTGCCCACACTTAACTGTGTATACTGACATTTCATTATTTTTGGGCAAAGGAGCCTTTTCAATCTAACACTATCTTGGAAATGGAAGAAAACATCTGGGATTCACTCCGATAGGAGAACCAAAGCAAAACTATAAACACCATCTGTCAATTTTTCCTTCCAAAGGAGCCTTTCCAAATTTCTGGGAGTTTCCTTTGCCAACTCCTTGTCACAGCAGCTCCAGAAGCAACTGAAGCCACTGAAGTTTCCCATGATGTTCTGGGCTAGGAAACTGGTGTCCTAGGGCTTCCTGCTGCACAGATGCACATCCTCAAAGGATGATTCTACCCTCCTTCCATAGGTGCCAGTCTCTTCCTCCTCAAGCAAGAAAGCCAAGTATGGATGTGTCCTTTATACTCTGTACAAAAGTGCCTGGCTCAGGGACCAGGGAGGACTGAAATCCAGCTGCACTCAGCTTGCCAAGCTGTATATCCTGGCACTGCAACCTCTTAGGGAGGGTGCCTTTTCCTATCATGCACAAAGGTACAGTTTAGCCTAGTGGCAGGCCTTGTCCCTGAGCTCACTGATATGATTTAACTCTATTGTAATTGTGTGTCTTACAAGTTTGTCTTCCTCCTGAGAGTTTTGATGGCTGAAGCCTGGTCTTGTTTAACCTTTGCTCCCACTGCAGCACAGAGCTTGGTGTATAGTAGACCTAAGTACATTAATTAGCTGAATGAATTACTATGCACAGAGGTCTTCTGGCCCACTGCCACAACAGTCTACTAACCCCATTTTAAAAAGCTTAATAAAATTATCTTTTACTATTTTACAAGATAACTTTTTGCTATGCTTCCTGCTGTGTTTTTTTTTTTTTTTCTCTAAATTTTCTCCTGCTTTTCGTATCTGGTTCTCCATCTCTCTTATTCTTTTTTTTTTTTTTTGAGTCTCGCTCTGTTGCCCAGGCTGGAGTGTAGTGGCATGATCTCAGCCCACTGCAACCTCTGTCTCTTGGGTTCAAGCAATTCTCCTGCCTCAGTCTCCCAAGTAGCTGGGACTACAGGCATGCACCACCACGCCCAGCTAATTTTTTTGTATTTTTAGTAGAGATGGGGTTTCACCATGTTGGCCAGGCTGGTCTCAAACTCCTGACCTCAGGTGATCCACCTATCTTGGCCTCCCAAAGTGCTAGGATTACAGGTGTGAGCCACCACACCTGGCCCCTTTCATTAAGTCTTTGAACTACCAAATTATTTTTATTTTTTTATTTTTTTTTGAGACAGAGTCTCGCTGTCGCCCAGGTTGGGATGAAGTGGCATGATCTTGGCTCACTGCAAGCTCTGCCTCCCGGGTTGGCACCATTCTCCTGCCTCAGCCTCCCAAGTAGCTGGGACTACAGGCACCCACCACCGCTCCTGGCTAATTTTTTGTATTTTTAGTAGAGACGGGGTTTCACTGTGTTAGCCAGGATGGTCTCGATCTCCTGACCTCGTGATCCTCCCACCTCAGCCTCCCAAAGTGCTGGGATTACAGGCGTGAGCCACTGCACCTAGCCTAGCAAATCACTTTTTAGAGGCTGGTCATTGCATCTTTGTTCTCGGACTCATTCTCTGTTCTTCTTCTGAAAACTACATTTCCCAGCTTCTTTGACAACCACATACTAGCTATATTCAGCCAATGGGAGGCACTGGAAGAAGACTGGAGGTGAGAGGAAGAAGAAGCCAGGGCAGTTCTTCCTCTTCCGGCTATGGGGCATTTCCCAGCAGTGGCTGCATCGCTTCTGTGTGGTTTCCACTTCCCCTTCTTCTTCTCCTTTTTTTTTTTTTTTTTTTTTTTGAGACAGAGTGTCGCTCTGTCGCCCAGGCTGGAGTGCAGCAGCATGATCTCAGCTTACTGCAACTTTCATCTCCCGGGTTCAAGCTTTTCTCCTGTCTCAGCCTCCTGAGTAGCTGGGATTAGAGGTGCGCGCCACCAGGCCTGGCTAATTTTTTTTTTTTTTGTATTTTTGGTAGAGACGGGTTTTGGCCAAGCTGGTCTCGAACTCCTGACCTCAAGTGATCTGCCCACCTTGGCCTCCCAAAGTCGGCCTCCCAAAGTCAGCCTCCCAAAGTGCTGGAATTACAGGCGTGAGCCACTGCGCCTGGCCGCCCCTCCTTCTTTAGTCCCAAGTTCTGCTGCCCGCCCCACTCCAGCCAAATCCTATTTCCTCCACAGCCACAAATAATAATTTAGTGTGTGTCCTTTCAGTTTTTCATCCATGCTTATATATACACACACATATATATACACATATACACACACACATATATATACACACATATATACACATATATATACATACACACATATATAGATTATCTCTACACATTTTTTTTTTGCAAAAATAAATACCATATGCATTATTCTGCAACTTGCTTTTTACTCCACAATATACTGCTGTAACTGCGATAGTTACTGCCAAATTGCTCCACGAAAAGATTCTACCAATTTATACTGTTGTCAGCAGTGTATGAGAATGCTTATTTTGCTAGACACGGTGGCTCATGCCTAATCCCAGCACTTTGGGAGGTCAAGGTGGGAGGATTGCTTGAGACCAGGAGCTTGAGACCAGCCTGTGCACCATAGAGAGACTGTTTCTTTAAAAAAAAAAAAAAAAAAGTTTATCCATCTATGCACCATTGGATACACTTTATTTATTTATTTTTTTGAGACAAAGTCTTGCTCTGTCGCCCAGGCTGGAGTGCAGTGGTGCTATCTTGGCTCACTGCAACCTCTGCCTCCTGGGTTCAAGCGATTCTCCTGCCTCAGCCTCCCAAATGCTGGGATTACAGGTGCACACCACTACGCCGGCTAATTTTTGTATTTTTAGTAGACACAGGATTTTGCCATGTTGGCCAGGCTGATCTCGAACTCCCAACCTCAGGTGGTCCACCCGCCTTGGCCTCCCAAAGTGCTGGGATTACAGGTGTGAGCCACCATGCCCGGCTGGATATACTTTTTTATTAAATAATTTTTTTTAATCAATTAAGATGGGGGGCTGAGCATGGTAGCTCGTGCATGGAATTCCAGCACTTTGGGAGGCCACGGCAGCAGGATCACTTGGGGCCAAGAGTTTGAGACCAGCCTGGTCAATATAGCGAGATCCTGACTCTACAAAAAAGAAAAAAAAATGGCTGGGTGCCATGGCTCATGCCCATAGTCTTAGCACTTTGGTAAGCCGAGGCTGGCAGATTGCTTGAGCTCAGGAGTTTGAGACCAGCCTGGGCAACATGGTGAAACCCTGTCTCTACCAAAAATACACAAAATTGGTCAGGCATGGTGGTATGTGCTTGTGGTCCCAGCTACTCTGGAGATGGAGGTGGGAGGATCTCTTGAGCCTGGGAGGCAGAGGTTGCAGTGAGCTGAGATCACGCCACTGCACTCCAGCCTGGGTGACAGAAGACTGAAACCCTGTCTCAAAAAAAAAAAAAAAAACCACAAGCTGGGTGCGCTGGCTCATACCTATAATCTCAGCACTTCAGGAGGGGTGGGAGGTGGATCACTTGAGGCCAGGAGTTCAAGACCAGCCTAGCCAACATGGAGAAATCCCATCTCTACCAAAAATATAAAAAAAAAGCGGTGCATGGTGGCACATGCCTGTAATCCCAGCTACTTGGAAGCCTGAGGCAGGGGAATCATTTGAACCCGGGAGGCAGAGGTTGCAGTGAGCCGAGATTGTGTCACTGCACTCCAGCCTGGATGACAGAGCGAGACTACATTTCAAAAGAAAACAACACAAACAAACAAAACTTAAATAAAATAAAATAAAATAAAAATTAGCCAGGTATGGTGGCATGTACCTGCCAGTCCCAGCTATCCGGGAGGCTGAGGCGGGACGATCCCTTAAGTCCAGAAGTTCGAAGCTGCAGTGATCTATGATTGCACCACTGCACTCCAGCCTGGGTGACAGAACAAGGCCTGTTGCCCAGGATGGACTCAAACTCCTGGCCTCACTCCCGCCTCAGCCTCCCAAAGTGCTGAGATTATAGGCATGAGCCACTGCATCAGACCCAGCATTGGATATACTTGATCTTTTCAGCTTTTGCCAATTTGTTAGGTAAAAATTAGAGCCTTGTTTCATTTTTAAACATTATCAGCCCGGTGCGGTGGCTCACGCCTGTAATCCCAGCACTTTAGGAGGCCGAGGTGGGGAGGATCATGAGGTCGGGAGTTTGAGACCAGCCTGAACAACATGGTGAAACCCCATCTCTACTAAAAATACAAAAACTAGCCGAATGTGGTGGTGCATGCCTGTAATCCCAGCTATTCAGGAGGCTGAGGCAGGAGAATCGCTTGAACCCAGGAGGCAGAGGTTGTAGTGAGCCGAGATTGTGCCTTTGCACTCCAGCCTGGGCGACAAAGTGAGACTCTGTCTCAAAAAAAAAAAAAAATTATCAGTGATATTGACCATTTTCTCATACGTTCACTAGCTATTTGTATTTCTTCTTTGGCTAATTGCCTCTTGCAAACTATACACACTTTTTTTTAATTGAATCATTCCATTTTTCACACTGATTTGTAAAATTATTTGTATACTGGGAAAACTAACTTTTTCTGTTATATAGGTTACAAATATTTTCTTCCAGTTTATCTTTTCACTTTGTGTTTGGGGTCTTTTGCCATCATCAAATCTGTCAACTATTTCCTTCATGGCTTCTGCATTTGGTGTTATGATTAGACAAGTTCTTTCCATCCCATAACTCAGAAAATATTCTTCTATATTCTCTTTTAATATTTTATTGTACCTTTTTGTGTTTGTGTATTCATCTGGTGGAATGGAAAATTATCTATATCATGGTCATCAGGATAATTGCATCTTTATATGATGGTCATCACATCGTTCTTAGAATTGAGAGAAGCCTCAGAGGTTACCCAGATATCTGAGTCCTTCGTTGTAACTATGAGTTTCTGGGGAAGGGCAAAAGGTTTCAATCTGATCTTCAAGGTTCTAAGGATTCATCCTAACTTTTCCCTTGATTTTCCCAGGAGAAAAGATGTCTTTGCCAAGGATGCCAGTGACTTTTTCTTACAGACTTAGAACGGTTAAACCCAAGCCAAGCCTCTTCCTTCCTGGTTTCTCCAAACTTACCACCTTCTGCTCCTCTACATATACCCTTTGCTCTACTTACTGATCCTGAACATTCCTGGAAATTTCTTGCATCCATGCCTTTGCCCAGACTACTTTAGGCACCCTTCATTCTATCTGGCCTTTAAGGCCTAACTTAAATGCTTCAATTTGCCATGAAATCTCCGAATTTCTCAAGTGTACCTGAATTCCCTCTCCTCTCTACTCCTCAGGCATGGATTGTGCTACTTAAAGGACTCAGTTTATTTTCTTTCTTTATTTTTTTTTTTTGAGACAGAGTGTTGCTCTGTCACCCAGGCTGGAGTGCAGTGGCGTGATCTCTGCTCACTGCAACCTCCGCCTCCCGGGTTCAAGCGATTCTCCTGCCTCAGCCTCCCAAGTAGCTGGGACTACAGGTGTGTGCTACCACACCTGGCTAACTTTTTGTATTTTTAGTAGAAACGGGTTTCACCGTGTTAGCCAGGATGGTCTCGATCTCCTGACCTCATGATACGCCTGCCTCAGCCTCCCAAAGTGCTGGGATTACAGGTGTGATCCACCACGCCCGGCCGGACTCAGTTTATTTTCTGTCAGGTGCCATCATTATCTGGACACTTATCTGCTTCCCTCACTGGGCTGCCTTGAGAGCATCTTTGCAGACTTGTGGTGCCTGGCACATGGTAGGACTTAATTAGTACTGGATGGCTAAATGAATGAAATATTGTAGAGGTGGTTGTCTGTCTTTTCTGTCTCTGTTCTTAGACATTGTAAATGCCTGGTGTATAAAGGGAGGGAGAAAGAAGACAGAAAGAGGGAGGGTGCAGGTTGGTGCCCCTTTTTTCTCTATTGCTGTTGGCAGGCCAGCAGGTATGCTGGCCACTGTCTACGTGCACTGAGAGGGAAAGATACAGGGTAGGGGAAACAGAGGACTGGCATCCTATTCAGCCTCTTCTGGCCCCAGGTGAGTCAACACTGGGATTCACACCTAGAAACTGACAAGTATGAATCACTCCTAGGAAGGTTAAGAGGTATTTGTTTTTCTAGGTAAATGCCTCCACTTCTTTTCCATTTCTTTTTTTTTTTTTTTTTTTTTTGAATGGAGTTTTGCTCTCGTTGCCCAGGCTGGAGTGCAATGGTGTGATCTCAGCTAACCGCAATCTCTGCCTCCTGGGCTCAAGCAATTCTCCTGCCTCAGCCTCCCAAGTAGCTGGGATTACAGGCATTTGCCACCACACCTAGCTAATTTTTTTTGTATTTTTAGTAGAGACGGGGTTTCTCCATGCTGGTCAGGCTGGTCTTGAACTCCTGACCTCATGTGATCTGCCCGCCTCGGCCTCCCAAAGTGCTGGGATTACAGGCATGAGCCACTGTGCCTGGCCTTTTTTTTTTTTCTGAGACAGAGTGTTGCTCTGTCACCTAGGCTGGAGTGACGTGGCGCAACCTCACCTCACTGCAACCTCCACCTCCCAGGTTCAAGTGATTCTTCTGCCTCAGCCTCTTGAATAGCTAGGATTACAGCTGCCACCATCACGCCCAGCTAATTTTTGAATTTTTAGTAGAGATGGGGTTTCACCATGTTGGCCAGGCTGCTCTCGAACTCCTCACCTCAGGTTATCCACCTGCCTTGGCCTCCCAAAGTCCTGGGATTATAGGCATGAGCCACTGCGCCCAGACTTTTTTTTTTTTTTTTTTTTTTGAGACAGGGTCTGGCTTTGTCACCCAGGCTGGAGTGCAGTGGCTTGATCTCGCTCACTGTAACCTCCTCCTCTTGGGTTCAAGCGATTCTCATGCCTCAGCCTCCCACATAGCTGGGATTACAGGCGCCCACCTAGCTAATTTTTATTTTGTATTTTTAGTAGAGATGGGGTTTCACCATGTTGGGTAGGCTGGTCTTAAACTCCTGACCTCAGATGATCTGCCTGCCTCAGCCTCCCAGAGTTCTGGGATTACAGGCGTGAGCCACCACACCCGACCTTGTTTTTTTTTTTTTTTTTTTTTTGAGACAGAGTCTTGCTCTGTTGCCCAGGCTAGAGTGCAATGGCATGATCATTGCTCACAGCAGCCTTAACCTCCCAGGCTGAGGCCATTTTCTCACCTCAGCCTCCTGACTAGCTGGGACCACAGATGTGTACAACCATGTCTGGCTAATTTTTTACAATTTTATTTTATTTTTAGACAGGGTCTCATTTGCAGAACCCAATAGCTGGGACTACAGTCGTGTACCACCATGCCCAACTGTTTTTTGTTGTTGTTAGAGATGAAGATTCTCCACGTTGCCCAGGCTGGTCTCAAACTCCTGAGCTCAAGAGATCTGACCATCTTGGCCTCCCAAAGTGCTGGGATTACAGGCGTTAGCCATCGTGCCTAGTCATTTTATTTTATTTTATTTTATTGCGACAAGATCTTGCTCTGTCACCCATGTTTGGAGTACACCAGCACAATCCTGGCTCACTGTAGCCTCGACCTCTCAGGCTCAAGTGATCCTCCTATCTCAGCCTCCTGAATAGTTAGGACCACAGGCACATGCCACCACGCCCAGATAATTTGAGTTTTTGTAGAGACAAGGTCTCACTATGTTGCCCAGGCTCACCTAATTTTTACCAAACTTTTTGTAGAGACGGGGGTCTCATGTTGCTTAAATTGGTCTTGAACTCCTGGGCTCAAGAGTCATCTTATTCAATTAATAATTCTCTGTCTCCTAATTCCAGCAGACATAGAAAGACACAGAAGGCCAGCGCCATGGCTCACGCCTACAATCCCAGCAATTTGGGAGACTGAGGCTTGAGCCCAGAAGTTTACCACCAGCCTGGGCAACATGGTGAGACCCCGTCTCTCCATATATATATATAAAATAATAAAAATTATCCGGGCGTGTTGGCATGTGGCTATAGTCCAAGCTACTCAGAAGGCTGAGGTGGGAGGATCACTTGAGCCCGACAGGTGGAGGTTGCAGGGTTGCAGTGCGCCAACATCGCGCCACTGCACTCCAGCCTAGGCGACAGAGCGAGACCCTGTCTCAAAAAAACAAAAAACACCCCAAACAGAAACAACAACAACAACAAAAACCCCCACAGAAGGCAGTGAAGGCTTGGGATAGGATTACCTGGTTTAAACCCATAGAATGTCAGAATTGAAGGAAGACTTAGAGGTCACCTTTGTTTTTTTTTCTTTTGATACAGAGTCGCGTTCCGTTGCCCACCTGGAGTGCAGTGGCGCGATCACGGCTACCGCAGCCTCGACCTCCCGGGCTCAAGCGACCCTCCTGCCTCGGCCTCTCAAAGTGCTGGAGTTACAGGCGTGAGCCACTGCGCCCGGCCTAGAAGTCACCTTTCAACTTAGTCCTCTATACATGGGAAAAGTGAGGTCCAGAAAGGGTATGAGTTGTACCAGGTCGCTGACCCTGAACAGAAGCTAGATGTCTTAATTCCCAAATAGGACTCGCTGCTAACTCTTTGGGCATACCTTCGCGATTCAAGGCTCTTGGGTTTCCCGCTTTGGCCGCCTCGCCAAACCCAAGTCTTACACTCTTAGTGACCCCCTCCTTTCCTCCTTCCCCCTTAGGTCAGCAGGGTTTACTCATTCCAATTGCAATGCTCCATGTTGCCGGAGTAGCTCCTCGCTAGAAGAGAGATTAGTTATGTCACCGTCGGCTCCTCCCATTGGTCCGGGCGTGTGGAGCGCGGCGCCATGACGTCAGACGCCCAAATGAGTGGGGCGGTGAGGGGAAGGAGGAGGGAAGTAGGACTTCAACATGGCGGCTGCGGCACTGGCGGTGGCTACGGTGACGGCCTGGCCCGGAGCGGGCAGAGTTGGAGGTGGTGGCGTTCGCTCTCCCTAGGGGCTGTCGGGAGCTCAGCGGGGACCGAGCCTGGGAGGCCGGCCGGTGCCAGCACCTTTCGGCTTCTGAGACGGCGGCAGCAGCGGCATTCAGGTGAGGGGGGCCTCCCTCTGGGGGAGGGGGAAGAGGGGCGGAGTTGGGGGAGGGGGGCTGGTACTGGGAGACTGGGAAACGGGATGGGGGGCCGAGCGAGGTGAAGGGCGCCGGAGCTAGGAGGTGGGAGGGAAAAGTGGCCGGAGATCCGCGATTCGGGGAGGATTCTGGGAGAAGGGTCGGAGTGAGGGGACCGGAGTTGAAGGGGCGGAGGGGAAGTGGGATGCGGAAAAATGAGTTCGGATTAAGGAGACTAATACCCTACTGGAAGACAGGCATAGTAGACATCTATCGGGCTGGACTGAGAACTCGGTGGGAACTAGAGGATGTCAGGGAGGGGGACCCAGATTTTAGTAAAGAAGGTGAGTGGTGGGGAGTTGAGGGTGAGCTGGGGACGTGCGGTGTAGATTTAGTTCTCCCTGAGGCAATGAGATTGGGGAGAAAAGGTGGAGACTAGACCAGAGGTGAGTGATCTTTGGGGATATCTTTGGCCTTGTCTGGTCTTCTCCAGGTATGTTTATCCGCCTTTTTTGTTTCTTGGGTGGAGGCTTACCTATACAGTCCACCTGGGCCTCAGGAACCGCCCCAGTCTTTCTTGTGGAACGTCAGGTTCATTTATTTGAGCTATATCAGTGATCTTTGACCTTTGTTGCCAAATGTAATTGTTTCCAGACTAGCGTCTTAAAAGTATGGTTGGGCATAAAAATACGTTTTATGTTAAACTGAAAAAAAAATTGTTACTTTTAGTCACCATGCAGTGTTGCGAAACCAGATTTGGTAATTTAGTTAAGTATTACGTATATTCTGTTCTAACTTTACTCGTTAGTGCTTTGTCTCTTCAGTTATTAGCATTTGAGAATTTGAATAGATATGATGGATGTTTTCCTTTTTAATTTTGTCAGATTTGATGGTGGGAAAAACAAGATACTTAGTCTTTAGTGATATATAGTTCTTTCTAGTTAATGTCCCAACCTAAACTAAAAGTTTCCGTATTGGCCGGGCGCTGTGGCTCACGTCTGAAATCCCAGCACTTTGGGAGGCCGAGGCGGGCGGATCACGAGGTCAAGAGTTCAAGACCAGCCTGACCAACATGTTGAAACCCTTTCTCTACTAAAAAGCCAGCCGGGCGTGGTGGCAGGCGCCTGTAATCCCAGCTACTCGGGTGGCCGAGGCAGGAGAATGGCTTGAACCTGGGAGGCGGAGGTAGCAGTGAGCCTAGATCGCTGCATTGCACTCCAGCCTGGGCAACAGAGCGAGACTCCGACTCAAAAAAAAAAAAAAAGTTTACGTATTATGGCAAAGAATGTGAAATGTGTCAAGTCTTAAAAGAATTACATTGTCCGCATTAACTTACTATAAGTGAAATTTTATTAAATTTTTGTTTCTAGTTCTATTAATTCATGGTGTTTATTAAATAGCTACTGTGTGTTGCAATAATAAGAGTCATTATAATTACAGAAATGCTAAACTTAATGTTTCTTTAGTGAGTGACCATCGCTGTCATTGCACAGCAGATAACTTTACTAACCTGCTAGAACCTCATTGGAAAAAAAACTTTTTTTTTTTTTTGTTTCTTTTTATTTTTTTCCAGAGGGAGTCTCGGTCTGTTGCCCAGGCTGGAGTGCAGTGGCGCGATCTTGGCTTGCTGCAACCTCCGCCTCCTGGGTTCAAGTGACTGTCCTGCCTCAGCCTCCCGAGTAGCTGAGATTATAGACACCCACCACTACGGCTGGCTAATTTTTGTATTTTAGTAGAGACGGGGTTTCACCATGTTGGTCAGGCTGGTCTCGAACTTCTGACCTCAAATAATCCTCCGGCCTTGGTCTCCGAAAGTGCTGGGATTACAGGCGTGAGCCACCGCACCCGGCCTGTTTTCTTTTTTTTTTTTTTTTTGAGACAGAGTTTCGCTCTGTGCCCAGGCTGGAGTGCAGTGGCGCAATCTCAGCTCACTGCAAGCTCCGCCTCCCGGGCTTGCCATTCTCCTGCCTCAGCCTCCTCAGTAGCTGCGATTACAGGCGCCTGCCACACACCTGGCTAATTTTTTAAAATATTTTTTTAGTAGAGACGGGGTTTCACCGTGTTAGCCAGGATGGTGTCCATCTGCTGACCTCGTGATCCACCCGTCTTGGCCTCCCAGAGTGCTGGGATTACAGGCGTGAGCCACCGCGCCCGGCCTTTTTTATTTTTATTTGTATTTTATTTTATTTTTTGAGACGGAGTCTCCCTCTGTCGCCCAGGCTGGAGTGCAGTGGCGCGATCTCGGCTCTCTGCAAGCTCTGCCTCCCGCGTTCACGCCATTCTCCTGCCTCAGCCTCCTGAGTAGCTGGGACTACGGGCTCCCGCCACCACGCCCGGCTAATTTTTTGTATTTTTAGTAGAGACGGGGTTTCACTGGGTTAGCCAGGATGGTCTCGATCTCCTGACCTCGTGATCCGCCCGCCTTGGCCTCCCAAAGTGCTGGGATTACAGGCGTGAGCCACCGTGCCAGGCCTTTTTTTTTTTTTTTTTAATGAAGGCAAAGGAAAAAAATTAAACTCTGTAAATATGAAAACTTCTTCAGTTTCTTTCGTTTAGTATTTAAGACTGATTTCCTAATCATGGCATTTCTTCTGTGTATTCTTCTGAAATATTTTTTCATTTTGATTTTGAAGACAGAGTATTCTGAAAAGATAATAATAGATCTGTAGACAAGTCTCATCAATGATTGTTAGTGCATTTTTTAATTAAAATTTTTTTTTTTGTAGAGAAGGGGTCTCTTATGTTGCCCAGTCTGATTTTGAACTCCTGAGCTCAAGTGATCCTCCCACCACAGCCTCCCAAACTGCTGGGAGGCATGAGCAGCTAGTGCACGTATTTTTGACTGGTGAATGTCACATTATTTGGTGTATCTTTTAACTATGGTATTTAAGGATCCCTGACGTTTATTTATTTATTTATTTATTTATTTATTTATTTATTTATTGAGACTGAGTCTCGCACTGTTGCCCAGGCTGGAGTGCTGTGGCGTGATCTCAGCTCACTGCAACCTCCATTTCCCAGGTTCAAGTGATTCTCCTGCCTCAGCCTCCCAAGTAGCTGGGATTACAGGCACCCACCACCACACCCGGCTAATTTTTATAGTTTTAGTAGCGACGGGGTTTCACAACGTTGGCCAGGCTGGTCTTGAACTCCTGACCTCAAATGACCTACCCGCCTCGGCCTCCCAAAGTGCAGGGATTACAGACGTGAGCCATGGCGCCCAGATGGATCCCTGACGTTTAATTCAGTGACTAAAATTCTTATTATTTTCAGCATTATAGTTGAAATATCATTAGCCTTGAGTGTAAATGCCAATATTACAAGCTTTTCGTGTTCTTTTTTCTTTTTCTTTCTTTCCTTCTTTCTTTCTTTCTTTCTTTCTTTCTTTCTTTCTTTCTTTCTTTCTTTCTTTCTTTCTTTCTTTCTCTCTCTCTTTCTTTTCTTTTCTTTCTCTCTCTTTCTCTCTCTCCTTTCTTTCTTTTCACTCAGTCGCCCAGGCTGGGGTACAGTGGCTCGATCTCTGCTCACTGCAAGCTCCGCCTCCTGGGTTCACGCCATTCTCCTGCCTCAGCCTCCTGAATAGCTGGGACTACAGGTGCCCACCACCACGCCTGGCTAATTTTTTGTAGTTTTAGTAGAGATGGGGTTTCACCGTGTTATCCAGGATGGTCTCGATCTCCTGGCTAATTTTTTGTAGTTTTAGTAGAGATGAGGTTTCACCGTGTTAGCCAGGATGGTCTCGATTTCCTGACCTCTTGATCCGCCCATCTCAGCCTTCCAAAGTGCTGGGATTATAGGCGTGAGCCACTGTGCCTGGCCTCTGTTCTTTAGTTATGTTATTGAATGTATTGAAATTTTTCAAATGTAGATCATTTTAAGAGTAATCTTTTTTCCTACAGATTCATTAAAAATATTTATTCATCATTTATCAGGTGGTTTTCTTTAGACAGTCTTTCTCAAGAAATGCAAAAAGGTAATACAGAGTGCCTTAAAACATTAAATAGGCCTGGCGCCATGGCTCATGCCTGTAATCCCAGCACTTTGGGGGGCCGAGGCGGGCGGATCATGAGGTCAGGAGATTGAGACCATCCTGGCTAACACGGTGAAATCCCGTCTGTACTAAAAAATACAAAAAAATTAGCCGGGCGTGGTGGTGTGTGCCTGTAGTCCCAGCTACTCGGGAGGCTGAGGCAGGAGAATGGCGTGAACCCGGCCACTCCAGAGGCGGAGCTTGCAGTGAGCTGAGATAGTGCCACTACACTCCAGCCTGGGCAACAGAGCGAGACTCCGTCTCAAAAAAAAAAAAAAAACATTAAATAAACCTTTTTTCTAACAATTAAAAAAAAAGAAAAAAACTCAAGCTGAAAAGAAGCTTAGAAATCACCTGGGTGTAGTTTCCCACACAGAATGGGAATCCCTGCTTCTATACCAAAACAAATGAAAATCCATCCTCTTTTCCAGATTTCTAAGGAAGTAATAGGATTTTTCAGAATTTCTTTTTTTTTGTTTGTTTTTTGTTTTTTTTTTTTGAAACGGAGCTTTGCTCTTGTTGCCCAGGCTGGAGTGCAATGGCGCCATCTCAGCTCACCGCAACTGCCGCCTCCCGGGTTCAAGTGATTCTCCTACCCCAGGCTCCCGAGTAGCTGGAATTACAGGCATGTGCCACCATGCCCGGCTAATTTTGTGTTTTTAGTAGAGACGGGGTTTCTCCATGTTGGTCAGGCTGGTCTCAAACTCTTCAACTCAGGTGATCCATCCGCTTCGGCCTCCCAAAGTGCTGGGATTACAGGTGTGAGATAGCGCTCCCGGCCCAGAATTTCTTATAGGAAAAGTATGTTCAATTAGAAAAAAGAAGCAAGCAGAGTAGTGCTCTTCCAACCTGTAACATACAGTGTCCTGTAACATTAGAAAATAACTTGAAGGTAACAGTAATATTTTCCTATGAATCGAGAGTTACGATTTCAGGTTTTAGAAATTTTAGGTGGAAGTAGCAAGATTCACAAAGGAAAGGGTGCTGACACTGGGTATGTACTAATGAGCCAGGATTGTTAAACACTTTCTTTCCTTTTTTTTTTAGATAGTCTCGCTCTGGGCCGGGCGCGGTGGCTCAGGTCTGTAATCCCAGCACTTTGGGAGGCCGAGGCGGGCGGATCACAAGGTCAGGAGATCGAGACCATCCTGGCTAACACGGTGAAACCCTGTCTCTACTAAAAATAGAAAAAATTAGCCGGGCCTGGTGGCGGGCACCTGTAGTCCCAGCTACTCGGGAGGCTGAGGCAGGAGAATGGCGTGAACCCGGGAGGTGGAGCTTGCAGTGAGCCAAGATCACGCCACTGCACTCCAGCCTGGGCAATAGAGCGAGACTCCGTCTGAAAAAAAAAAAAAAAGAGAGTCTCGCTCTGTTGCCAGGCTGGAGTGCAGTGGCACAATCTCGGCTCACTGTAACCTCCACCTCCCAGGTTCAAGAGATTCTCCTGCCTCAGCCTCCTGAGTAGCTGGGACTACAGATGGTGTGCCACCATGTCCGGCTAATTTTTGTATTTTTAGTAGAGACAAGGTTTCACCATGTTGGCCAGGATGGTCTTGATCTCTTGACCTCGTGATCCTCCCACCTCGGCCTCCCAAAGTGCTGGGATTACAGGCGTGCGCCACCGCGCCCAGCCAATCCTTTTTTTTTTTTTTTTTTTTTTTTTGAGATGAAGTCTCGCTCTTATTCCCCAGGCTGGAGTGCAATGGTGTGATCTCGGCTCACTGCAACCTCTACCTCCCGAGTTCAAGCGATTCTCCTGTGTCAGCCTCCCTAGTAGCTGGGATTACAGGCGCCTGCCACCACGCCTGCTAATTTTTGTATTTTTAGTAGAGATGGTGTTTCACCTTATTCACCAGGCTGGTCTCGAACTTCGGACCTCAGGTGATCTGCCTGCCTCGGCCTCCCAAAGTGCTGGGATTACAGGCATGAGCCACTGCACTCGGCCCTGTTAAAACACTTTACATAATCTCAGTTCTTGGCCAGACACAGTGGCTCATGCCTGTAGTCCCAGCAGTTTGGGAATCCCAGGCGGGCGGATTGCTTGAGCCCAGAAGTTCAAGACCAGCCTGGACAACACAGTGAGACCTGTCTCTACAGAAGTCACAGAAAAATTAGCTGGGATTGGTGGTTCATGCCTGTAGTCCCAGGTACACGAGAGGCTGAGGTAGGAGGATCACCTGAGCTCAGGAAGTCGAGGCTGCAGTGAGCTGAGATCATGCCCCTGCACTCCAGCCTGGGCAACAGAGCAAGATCCTACCTCAAAAGAAATAATCTCGGGCGGGTGCTGTGGGTCATGCCTGTAATCCTGGCACTTGGGGAGGCCCAGGCAGGTGGATCACCTGAGGTCAGGATTTCAAGACCAGTCTGGCCAACACGGTGAAACCCCGTCTCTACTAAAAAGACAAAAATTAGCTGGGCGTGGTGGCAGGTGCCTGTAATCCCAGCTACTCAGGAGGCTGAGGCAGGAGAATTGCTTGAACCTGGGAGGCGGTGGTGGCAGTAAGCCTAGATCATGCCACTGCACTCCAGCCTGGCTGACAGAACGCATCTCTGTCTCAAAAAAAGAAAAACAAACAAACAAACACATTCAGTTCTCACACTTGAATTAGGTAGGTAGGTTGTGTTATGCGTGCTTTTTATGTATTGAGGAAACAGGATCACAGAGGTTGTGTAACTTAACTAAGGTTACAACTAGGTAGACTGAATTTGAACTGAAATCTGTCCAACCTCAATGCCTATGCTGCATTCTTTTATGCCATTTTGCCCCTCTTAGGTGGTCACAGGACCATTCCAATTCCTATAAGGTATAAGCACTAGTTTTAAAGTAATACCATTGTGAACTGCTTGTTCTCATTGAAATAATAGTGTAACTGGAATGATAAATAGTTCATTAAAATTTTAGTCACATTATGTCATCAGAATTCTAGGAGGAAATGAATACCTGATTATTTTGTACTTCACAAAATAAACTGGATAAACTGGATAAATGACTGAAAGTTTCTTTTTTATATTGCTGAGTCAGATTGGATCCGGTTCATTAAGGGCCAAAATTTGTATTTGGCAGTAATCCTCATGTGTTCTCAGAATGCTTGATTGGTCATTATCAGTTGCTTAATGCTTACCAAACACTTCCAGTGTTTTGAGTCACTGAATTGGCTCATGGTAATTGTTAATCTTGTGGTTACTGAGTCAAGAGCCAGCAGTGTGTGTTTTGGCTGCTTCACTTCCTCCTCAACACTTGATATTGTCAGATTTTAAATTAATTTTTTTTTTCTAATCTGGTGGGTTTGAAATTGTATCTATAGTGTTTTTTATCAGCATTTCCTGAAGCTGGGCATCTTTTCATGTATTTTCGTTGGTCATTTGTGCTTCTGCGAAGTGTATATTCAATTTCGTTGCCTATTTTTTTGGTCTTTTCTCTTTTTCTGATTTATTTTTAAGAGTTCTTTATATATTCTGGATACTAATTATTTGTTAATTTATAGGTTGCAAATATCCTTTCCCAATTTGTGACTTGTCTTTTCATCTCTTCATAGTCTTCTGGTGAGAAAAGCTCCTAATTGTAATGAACTGAATTTTTCAGTCTTTCATGGTTTGTGTTTTGTGTTTTTTTTTATTTTTTATTTTTTATTTTTTGAGATGGAGTTTCGCTCTTGTTGCCCATGCGGGAGTGCAATGGCGTGATCTTGGCTCACTGCAGCCTCCGCCTCCTGGGTTCAAGCAATTCTCCTGTCTCAGCCTCCCGAGTAGCTGGGATTACAGGTGCCTGCCACCACGCCCAGCTAATTTCTGTATTTTTAGTAGAGACAGGGTTTCATCATATTGGTCAGGCTGGTCTTGAACTCCTGACCTCAGGTGATCCACCCGCCTGGGCCTCCCAAAGTGCTGGGATTACAGGCGTGAGCCACTGCGCCCGGCTGGTTTGTGCTTGTTGTATCAAATTTGGGAAATCCTTCTTTGCTGCCAGGCATGTTGTTTTAATAAATACAGTAGTATACCTATCTATAATGTGGTATATCTCATCTGACATTTATTTCCAATATTTGCTTGATTACAAAGGCAGACTTCTTAGAAGTTGCTTTCTTATTATCTTTGGAGTTATAGGGCCACAGGGTTTTAAAAGGAGGTTGGATTGTGCCTTACATGTGGGTTTCATACATTGTCCAAACTGAGACACCAACAGATTTGTGAATGAGATGTGCATCTTATTAAATGTTAATGTGATTTGACAATGAGACCTTTCTTTGTGTGGACAGTATTATATACAATTGATAGTGTGTCATTCAGTCTAAGCTGTTAGCACTTTCACTAAAATATATTCAAATTTTTTTTGATGTCTAGTTTTTACAGTGTTGGGCTTTATCAAGAATAGTTGTGGATTGTGGAAGAGCTGATATGGAAACAGAGGAATGTATTTTGCTTTTTTTTTTAAACTCTGTCCGGTTCCTTGGACTTGTGTGTCTCCTATCTTATCAAGAATAATTGTAGATTGTGGAAGAGTTGATATGGAAACATCTTAGAAGAATGTTTTTTGCTTTTTTTAAAAAAAAAAACAAAACTGTCCAGTTCCTTGGACTTGTGTGTCTCCTATCTACCATTAAACCCTTATGACTTAAGGTATATGTATAAATACATATATACATCTTGGTGGCATTGATTTTTCTATGTTGTGTATTAAAGCTGCTAAAAAACATTTTTTCTTTTTTTCAATGAGAAGACTAGTGATTACTTTGACTTTAGGAATTATTCTTCTAAGGAGTCAAGTATTTGATCTGGGCGAGGATCACACTGAAATATAAAACATCTGAGTAATTTGGGTTCACTAAAAAAAAAAAAAAAGAAATGTAAAACAACCACCAGATTAAAAATACACTACAAATACTGTTTACAACCACCAGATTAAAAATACAACACAAATACTGTTTATTTATACAAATAGTATACCTTTGACATTTATGAAAGGCATACTCTTAGATCATTGGGAATCCGTACTTATGTAACTACCATAGTTTATAGTGTCCTTCATGAAATACAGAAAAGTGTAACAGGAAATTTTTAGTTACCATCAGATTTGATGGGTAAATAGAAGAGAGCAACAAAGTAAAGCAATTTGAATGCTAAACTTAGTCTTCAGCTTTTTTTTTTTTTTTTTTTTTTTTAAAGAGATGGGATCTTGCCCTGGTACCCAGGTTGGTCTTAAATGCCTGGCCTCAAGTAATTCACCTGCTTCGGCCTCCCCAAGTGCTGGGATTACAGACGTGAGCCACCATGCCTGGTGCTTTCAGCTACCTTTAACTTCCTGCCTTTTTCTGTTGTTTGTTACTACCACTGGCCTATTCCAGCCTCCTTTAGTAACCTATTGGAAACTCAAGATTAGTCTGTCTTGGGCCGGGTGCGTTGGCTCACGCCTGTAATCCCAGCACTTTGGGAGGCTGAGGCGTGTGGATCACCTGAGGTCAGGAGTTCGAGACCAGCCTGGCCAACATGGTGAAACCCTGTCTCTCCTAAAAATAGAAAAATTAGCCAGGCATGGTGGTGGATTCCTGTAATCCCAGCTACTCAGGAGGCTGAGGCAGGAGAATTGCTTGAAGCCGGGAGGCAGAGGTTTCGGTGAGCCGAGATCGTACCATTGCACTCCAGCCTGGCCGACAAGAGTGAAACTCCATCTCCAAAAAATAAAAAATAAAAAAGATTAGGCTGGCTTTGCCTGTCTTTTGCTTCATCTCATCATCATGGTCTTGGTCCCAGGTGGGGTTTGCATCCTTACTGGTAAGAATGGAATCTTCCTAATCCTAAAATCTTTCTATAGTTTGGGAGTGTTAACATTTCCTTCAGTAGTTTCATGGGGAAGGATATGGGCAGTAACTTCCCCATTTCTTTCTTCTAGTAGATCATTATATCTTTTTTTTTTTTTTTTAAAGACAGAGTCTTGCTGTGTCGCCTAGCTTGGAGTGCAGTGGTGCGATCTTGACTCATTGCAACCTCCTCCTCCAGGGTTCAAGTGATTCTTTCACCTCAGCCTCCCGAGTAGCTGGGATTACAGGCACGTGCCACCATGCCTGGCTAATTTTTATATTTTTAGTAGAAATGGGGTTTCACCATGTTGGCTAGGCTGGTCGCAAACTCCTGAACTCAAATGATCCACCTGCCTCATCCTCCCAAAGTGCTGGGATTACAGGCATGAGCCACCGCACCCGGCCGATCATTATGTCTTATAGGATACCTCATGAGAGAAGTGATCTGGCTGCATGGGTGGAATTCAAGGTCAAATGGTCAGCCAAATTAAAAATCACTGCTGGAGCAGACTTTAGGGGTAGTTTGTGAACTTTCAAATTTGGAAATTATTATTATTATTATTATTTTTTGAGACGGAGTTTTGCTCTTGTTGCCCAGGCTGGAGTGCAATGGTACAATCTTGGCTTACTGCAGCCTCTGCCTCTTGGGTTCAAGCAGTTCTCCTGCCTCAGTCTCCCGAGTAGCTGGGATTACGGGCGTGCTCCACCATGCTCGATTAATTTTGTATTTTTAGTAGAGACGGTGTTTCTCCGTGTTGGTCTGGCTGGACTTGAACTCCTGACCTCAGGTGATCTACCCGCCTCAGCCTCCCAAAGTGCTGGGATTACAGGTGTGAGCCACTGCTCCTGGCCAGACATATTTAATTCTTTCATCAAAGGTTTATTATATTTCCGAGATATTCTAGCCAAAGGAAACAAACTTAACAACTTTTGTTTTCTGAAAATACTTTAGCAAAAATAGAAGGGAGAGGATCAGGAAAAATAACTAATGGATACCAGGCTTAATACCTGGGTGATGAAATAATCTGTACAACAACCCCCATGACACAAGTTTACCTATGTAACAAACCTTCACATGTACCCCTGAACTTAAAAGTTAAAAAAATTTAATGTTAATAAAATCTTAAACAAAAATCACGGAAGGTCTTTAATTGTTTATGTCGTGTCCTATCCGTTTTCTTGAAGAAGAAATATTAGCTAGTTCTTGTAATTTATTTATTTTTTGGGGTGGAGTCCCACTCTGTCACCCAGACTGGAGTGCAGTGGTGTGGTCTTGGCTCACTGCAACCTCTGCCTCCTGGGTCCAAGCGATTCTCCTGCCTCAGCCTCCTGAGTAGCTGGGATTACAGGCCCTTGCCACCATGCCTGGCTAAATTTTTTATTTTTAGTGGAGATGGGGTTTCACCATGTTGGCCAGGCTGGTCTTGAACTCCTGATCTCAGGGGATCCACCTTCCTCAGCTTCCCAAAGTGCTGGGATTACAGACTTGAGCCACCATGCCTGGCAGTTCTTGTAATTTAATAGGGAATCTTTTTTCCTTTCTTTCTTTCTTTTTTTTTTTTTTTTTGGAGACAGGGTCTCGCTCTGTTGCCCAGGCTGGAGTGCAGTGATGCAGTCACAGCTCACTGCTGCAGCCTTGACTTCCTGGGTTCAGGTGATTCTCCTACCTCAGCCTCCCGAGTAGCTGGGACTGCAGGCTCATGCCACCATGCCTGGCTCTTTTTTTTTTTTTTTTTGTATTTTTTGTAGAGATGGGGTTTCATCATGTTGCACAGGCTGGTCTCAAACTCCTAAGTTCAGGTGATCCACCTGCCTCGGCCTCCCAAAGTGTTGGAATTACAGGTGTGAGTCACAGTGCCCAGCCTGCTCTGGATATATTACTGGCATTATATTTAGTGGAAGAGCATATATATATTAGAGTAATGGAGATTTATTTCATTTAGTAGTATAAGAAATTATGTTTAGGTGCAGTTCTAATTTGAGACATTCTGTATCTGTCCTGTCTGATATGTCTCCAACATTGACAGTGGAGATATAAAACATTTTCATCAGTGTAGAAAGTTCTGCTGGACAGCACTGTTGTAGGTCAGTGATTCTCAAAGTTTTAGTGTGTGTATGGATAACTTGGATGTATTATTAAAATGTAGATTCTGAGTCAGTAGCTCTGGTGTGGGCTTGAGAGTTTGTATTTATTTATTTATAGAGATGGGGTCTTGCTATGTTCCCTGGTCTGAAACTTCTGGCCTCAAGCAGTCTTCCCACCTTGGCCTCCTAAAGCACCAGGATTGTGGGTGTGATCCACTGTGCCTGGCCTGTGTAAACTTTAAAATAGTGTCTTTAGCCATGAGGGATGATATTGTAATGGCAGAACTCTGGACAGTGAGTTGAAAGATCGAAAGTTGTAGTTCACTTTTTCCACCATCTTGAAGCTTTTAGAGGCCTGCTGGGAATAGGACTTCTAAAAGGCAAATATGTCTGGAAGGCTGTGGTCCAAGGCCATTTTTTGTTGGCTGTAAGTGTGGTCTCCAGAATCAAAGAGAGCACACAACTGTTTTTAAATCGAAGGTGTTTATGCCTGAGATGAAGCTGAATTCTGTTTGGGCAAGAGATTTGTGCTTATGTATACAAAGCAAAGAACAACACAGTGACTCCTGGTGGCAAACCAAACAAAACCAGAGTAATCTGTGGAAAGATAATTTGCGCCCATGGAAACAGACATGCCAAATTCCAAAGGAATCTTCCTGCTGAGGCCGTTTGGACACAGAATTCACGTGATGTTGTACCCCTCAAGGATTTAAACTACTAAAAAGTAAAAGTGGATTTGTGAACAAAAAAAGTCCTAGTTCAGCTTTCCTGTTTAAAAACCAACCTCTCTCAGCCTTGGATTTTTTTTTTTAATTTTTTAAATTTAAAAAAAATTTTTTTAATTAAATTTTTTTTTTTAGTGATGGGGTTTTGCTGTGTTGCCCAGGTTAGTCTCTAATTCCTGACCTCAAGTGATCGTCCCTCCATGGCCTCCTAAAGTACTGGGATTACAGGCATGAGCCACGGTCCCCGGCCTGTATAAACTTTTTAAATAGTGTCTTTTGCTATGAGAGCTTGTATTGTAATGGCAGAACTGTGGACAGTGAGTTGAAAGATCTAAAGTTCAGGCCAGGCGCGGTGGCTCATGCCTGTAATCCCAGCACTTTGGGAGGCTGAGGTGGGTGGATCATGAGGTCAGGAATGTGAGACCAGCCTGACCAACATGGTGAAACCCCGTCTCTACTGAAAATACAAAAATTAGCCGGGTATGGTGGCGCACGCCTGTGATCCCAGCTACTCAGGAGGCTGAGACAGGAGAATCACTTGAACCCGGGAGGTGGAGGTTGCAGTGAGCCGAGGTCACGCCACTGCACTCTAGCCTGGGTGGATAGAATGAGACTCCATCTCAAAAAAAAAAAAAAAAAAAAAAGATCTACACTTCTAGTTCATCTTTCCAGTTTTAAAACCAATCTCTCTCAGCCTTGAACTCTTTTTTTATTTTTCAATTTTCTTTAGGGATGGGGGTCTTGCTATGTTGCCCAGTTTGGTCTCAAACTCCTGGCCTCGAGCATACCTCCCACCTTGGCTTCCCAAAGTGCTGGGATTATAGGCATGAGCCACCAAGCCTGGCTAATGTATTTTTTTAAAATCACAAGTTCATAATGATATTTATTATTTGTTTAACTTTTAGCCCCTGCAAAGAAATATAATTTAGATTTTAGAATTATAGGACTTTAAATATTTTGCCTTTCCTCTTTTATATAAAAATATTAGTTCTTTACAACTATAATTACTTATTTTTCTATATTGGACTCATATAAAAAGGGTTTTAAAATAGTAATACTGCTATTATAGCTGATAAGTACAATCTAAAATCTTTGCTATTCTTTATGTTCTTAAAATACTGTGTAAGGGAGGGCCAGGCGCAGTGGCCCACGTCTGTAATTCCCAGAACTTTGGGAGGCGAGGCAGGCAGATCACTTGAGGTCAGGAGTTTGAGAACAGCTTGGCCAATGTGGCAAAACCCCATCTCTCTACTAAAAATACAAAAAATTAGCCAGGCGTGGTGGTATGCACCTAGAATCCCAGTTACTCAGGGGGGCTGAGGCAGGAGGATCGCTTGAACCCAGGAGGTGGAGGTTGCAGTGAGCTGAGATCACGCCACTGCGCTCCCGCCTGGGTGACAGAGTGAGACTCTGTCTCAAAAAAATAAAAATAATAAAAATATTGTGTAGGGGAAGCTCTCAAACCACGTTCTTCCTCTACTCTCACACCACCACAACAATCATCAACACAGAACACATCTGTGACCAAAAGTGTGGGGGTTTTTCACCTCTGCACCAAGCAGTGGACACCAGCTCGGTGTTCTCCAATTCAGGTTGGGGGCTCAGTCTTCAAGACTGCCTGCACACCCCTGGACACCAGTTGCATGTCTGGGGCCCTGGATCTTATGACCCACTGTCTTCATGTTGGTGTTCCCACGATCCCCTCTTTGGGTTTGGTTAATTTGCTGGAGCATCTCACAGAACTCAGGGAAACACTGAAATTTATTGGTTTATTCTGAAGAATCTTACAAAGGATATAGATGAAGGGATGCATAGAGCAAGGTATGGGGGAAGAGGTGTGGAGCTTCTATACCCTTCTTGGGGCACCACCATCCAGGAACCTCCAGGTGTTCAGCTATCCAGAAGTTCTCTGAACCCAGTCCTCTTGGGCTTTTGTGGAAGCTTCATGATGTCAGGATGCCTTCTCTCAGGGTATAGGGCAGTCCCCTCTCTGGGGAGGGTGTTAAGACCCACAATCAGAAAGGTGGGGAAAGATTATAGTCCTTTCTTGGGGCAGGTGAAAGTAGGGCAGAGGAAGAGGTTTTGTTTCCTGAGACCTGCCCCTGAGACCTAACACACCCAATATTGTATCAGAAGACTGTAACTAGGGCTGTGGGAATTATGAACCAGGAACAGTGGATGAAAACCAATATATGTCATAACACTACAAATATATTTTACTGATGTATACAATTAGAATACCGAGTTCTAAAGTCACTTCAAATAATTATATTCTCTGGTCATTTTACTAATTTTCTGTAAAGTTAGGTTTATTTGTTTCATTTTGTATTCATTTTGAGGGCTAAAAAATTATATTGCTAAGAATGTGTAATAGCTATTTTGAAAAGTTAGAATACAGAGATGTATAAAAAGAAAAATTCTCTCTCTTTTTTTTTTTTTGAGATGGAGTCTCGCTCTGTTGCCCTGGCTGGAGTGCAGTGGCACAATCTCGGCTCGCTGTAAACTCCGCCTCCCAGGTTCACGCCATTCTCCTGCCTCAGCCTCCTCAGCAGCTGGGACCACAGGCACCTGCCACCATGCCCGGCTAATTTTTTGTATTTTTAGTAGAGATGGGGTTTCACTGTTTTAGCCAGGATGGTCTCGATCTCCCGACCTCGTGATCCTCCTGCCTCGGCCTCCCAAAGTGCTGGGATTATAGGCGTGAGCCACCGCACCTGACCAATAAAAATTTTCTTTAAGCCACCATTGGAAATATCCACTATTAGAATATTTATATAAAATATTTGTGGAGCTCACATTTATTGAAAACATTATGCCATGTGTTCAGATTGTTCTAAGCACTTTGTATGCATTATCTCATTTGATCCTTACAATAACTTTATGAGATAGTTACTATTATCTCTATTTTATTTTTCTTTTTTCAGCCAGTCAAATTTAGCAGTGGGGGGTTGTATACCAACTTTAGTAACACTGCTTTGAATAAGTTCTGATGAGCCACTACCATTGGACCAGCCTGTTATTCCCATTTGATTGATTAAAACTCAAATGTTAACTTGTACAAGGGATACGTAACCTAGTAAGTTGCAGAACTGAGACTTGACCCCTGACAATTCTTGCTCAAACTCACTTTATTCATCCCTGTGTATTGTTTTTATCTTTTTTTCTGTGCTTACACATACACGGATTTTTTTCTTTTGTCATTTGAGAACAGAGATTTTTTAAATGTATTTCATACATTCAGGTAAGTTTTTTTTTTTTTCTCTAACAGTGTCTTATAAGAAGTTTTTGATTTCATTGAAGTCCCCTTTAGTTTTTCCTTTATGGTTTGTGCTTTTGGTGTTATATCTAAGAATTTTTGCTTAATCTAAGGTCAGAAAGATGTTCTCTTCTTGAAGTTTTATACTTTCAGGTTTGACTTTTTTGTCTATGATTCATTTTGAATTAATTATATATGACGTCATATGGATGGAAGATTTTTTTTGTTTGCACATAGATATCTATTTTAGCACTTTTTGTTGAAAAGATTACCCTTTCTAAAATATTTTGTCCATGTCTATATTTGGACCTGTTCTATTCTATTGATCTGTTTGTCTATCTTTATGCCAGTATCACACTATCTTGATAATTGTAGCTTTATAATAAATTTTGAAACCAGAAAAGAAAGTTTCCCAAAGTTGTTACGACTGTAGAGCCTTTGGATTTTTCTTTTTTTTTTTTTTCTGAGACGGAGTTTCACTCTTGTTGCCCAGGCTGGAGTGCAATGGCGCGATCTCGGCTCACCGCAACCTCCGCCTCCCAGGTTCAAGCGATTCTCCTGCCTCAGCCTCCCGAGTAGCTGGGATTACAGACATGTGCCACTATGCCCGGCTAATTTTGTATTTTTAGTAGAGACGGGGTTTCTCCATGTTGGTCAGGCTGGTCTCGAACTCCTGACCTCAGGTGATCCACCTGCCTCGGCTTCCCAAAGTGCTGGGATTACAGGCATGAGCCACCACGTCCGGCCAGTCCTTTGGATTTCTATACAAATTTTTTGGTTTTTTTTTTTTTTTTTTTTTTTTTTTTTTTTTTTTTGAGATAGAGTCTCACTATGTTGCCTAGGCTGGCCTCCAACTTTTGGGCTCAAGTGATCCTCCTACCTCAGTCTCCTGAGTAGCTGCAACTACACAAACACGCTACCATGTCTGGCTCCATATGATTTTTAAAATTAGCTTGCCAAGTTTCTATAAAAAGCTGCTGGCTTTTTATTTATTTATTTATTTATTTGAGACCAGGTCTTGCTCTGACTCCTAGGCTGGAGTGCAGTGGTGTGGTCATGGCTCACTGCAGCCTCGACCTTTCGGGCTGAAGTTTATCCTCCTACCTCAGCCTCTTGAGTAGCTGGGACCACAGGTGTGTGCCACTAAGCTTGGCTAATTAAAAACAATTTTTTTTTTTTTTTGGAGACGGAATTTCACTCTTATTGCCCAGGCTGGAGTGCAATGGCGTGATCTCGGCTCACTGCAACCTCTGCCTCCTGGGTTCAAGCGATTCTCCTGCCTCAGCCTCCCGAGTAGCTGGGATTACAGGTATGCATCACCACGCCCGGCTAATTTTTTGTATTTTTAGTAGAGATGGGGTTTCGCTGTGTTGACCAGGCTGGTCTCGAACTCCTGACCTCAGGTGATCTGCCCTACTCGGCCTCCCAAAGTGCTGGGATTACGGCCACGGCGCCCAGCCTAAATAATTTTTTTTAATATAGACACGGTCTCACTATGTTGCCCTGGCTGATCCTGAACTTTTGGCCTCAAGTGATCCTCCTGTCTCAGCCTCCCAAAGCACCGGGATTACAAGCGTGAGCCACCATGCCTAGCTTCACTGATTCTTCAGCTTGATTGAGTCTGCTGTTGAAATTCTCTATTGAATTATTTGGTTCAGTCATTATATTCTTCCGCTCTAAGATTTGCTTTTTATTATTTGTTTCTTTGTTTTCATTTTGTTCATGTATTGTCTTTCTAATATTGTTATTTGTGTGTGTGTGTGTGTGTGTGTGTGTGTGTGTGTGTGTTTTTAATTGAGATGGAGTCTCACTCTGTAACCCAGGCTGGAGTGCAGTGACACAATCTTGGCTCACTGCAACCTCCACCTCCTGGGTTCAAGTGATTCTCCCGCCTCAGCCTCCCGAATAGCTGAGACTACAGGCGTGTGCCACCACACCCGGCTAATTTTTGTATTTTTAGTAGAGACGGGGTTTCACTATGTTGGCCAGGCTGGCGTTGAACTCTTGACCTTGTGATCCGCTTGCCTTGGCCTCCCAAAGTGCTGGAATTACAGATGTGAGCCACTGTGCCCGGCCAGTTATTTGTGTTTTATTATAGTTCACGGACCTTCTTTAATAGGATTATTTATTTATTTATTATTTTGTAAAAATTTTTATTAAAATTTTTTTTTTCTTTTATAGAGACGGGTTTCACTATGTTGTGCTAGTCTCAAACAGCCGGGGCTCAAGCAATCTGCCCGCCTTGGCCTCCCAAAGTGCTGGGATTACAAGTGAGAGCCACTGCACCTGGCCAAGAGGATTATTCTGAATTCTTTGTCAGTCAGTTCTATAGATCTCCATTTCTTTAGGGTTGTTTTTTGGCATTTTATTAGTTTTCTTTTGTGGTATCATGTTTCCTTGGTTCTTTTTTTTTCTTTTGAGACAGATTTTTGCTCTGTCATCTAGGCTGGAGTGCAGTGGCACGATCTCAGCTCACTGTAGCCTCTGCCTCCTGGGTTCAAGTGATTGTCCTGCCTCAGCCTCCCCAGTAGCTGGGGTTACAAGCATGTGCTACCATGCCTGGCTAATTTTTGTAGTTTTAGTAGAGATGGGGTTTCACCATGTTGGCCAGGCTTGTCTTGAACTCCTGACCTCAGGTGATCCACCTGCCTCAGCCTCCTGAAGTGCTAGGATTACAGGCGTGAGCCACTACACTTGGCCTCCTTGATTCTTAATGATCTTTTTGTCCTTGTGTTGGTTTCTGTGCATTTGAGGAAGTAGTCACTTCTTTTAGTCTTTACCAATTCATTTCTGTGAGGAAAGACCTTCACCAGTCAGCCTAACCTGGGGTTCTGGATGGGTCAGCTGGTAGTATCTGTGGGCAAGCAGGGCGTGCTGCTGGAATCTCTTGTTGAACTTGGTAGCTGCCCATACTCTGAGGTTAGGTGGGGCTTGTTCTCTGGGGTCTGAGGCCAGTGCAGGTCTGTTGGCTGGGCTCTGAGGTTAGGAGGGGCAGCTGGCTGGGCTCCATGTTTAGGCCAGGCTGCTCTGTGACTTGGGAGGGCTGCAGGCTGTACTCTGGAATTTCCCCGGTCAGGTGAGGCTACAGGGTATGCACCATAGATGGGTAGGACTATAGGCTGCATTCTGCAATCAGGTGGGGTTGTATGTTAAGTTTAGCTGTTGAATGGGGGCATTGGCTGATTTTTTTGCCTGGATGGGGCTGCTGGCCCTGCTCCAAGGTTAGACGGGTTCTGTGGCCGGGCTGCCTGGTTGGGCAGGCAGGTTGCCTGGTTGGTCCTGTGGAGTTGGAGTTTCAGCTATACTATTAGGTGAGGCCATAGGCTATGCTCAGCTGAGGTCAGACTGGATCACTGGCACAGGACCCAAGCCAGGCAGAATGTTGACTGTGCTTGTTGGATAGACATGCCGCAGATGGGCAGAGCTGGTGGTTGGGCTCTCTGGTTGGGTGAGGCCACTGGCAGGGATGTGGTCTCATTGTCATGATTTGCATACTGTTTGCTGTGAGCCCCACCCCCTTCTTTGTTCCTAGCTGACTCCAGTGGTCTAGCCCTCCCATTTCTTCCCTATGAGGCAAGACAGACATGGATCTCCTGGAAAGCACCCTGGAAAGCTGGGAAAGTTGGGGAAGCTGAATGTCTGCCTTGGGCTTTCTTTTTCCCACTGCAGAAACTATAGGCCCAGGGGATCACTCTCTGGCCCCATGTGGGCCTGGTGAGGGGCGATGCAGTCAAAAAGTCAAGCCACTCTTACCCGTCTAATGGGGCTTTTGGTATTTGTGCTCCAAGGGAGTGCTTAAGCCCTAGGCTCTGGAATTTTCACAAAGGTGTTCTTGTCTGTGGATAATTACTAATTGACATTTCTGTGATAGTGACTAGAACCTGGACCTCCTATTCCACCATCATGTTCTTGGACTCTTTTTTATTATTTATTTATTTTTTTGAGACGGAGCCTCGCTCTGTCGCGCAGGCTGGAGTGCAGTGATGCGATTTCGGCTCACTGCAACCTCTGCCTCCCGGGTTCAAGCAGTTCTCCTGCCTCAGCCTCCCGAGTAGCTGGGACTACAGGGGCACACCACCACGCCCAGCTAATATTTTGTATTTTTAGTAGAGATGGGGTTTCACCGTATTAGCCAGGATGGTCTCGAACCCCTGACCTTGTGATCCCCCCGCCTTGGCCTCCCAAAGTGCTGGGATTACAGGCATGAGCCACCGCGCCCAGCCTATTATTTATTTTTAATTTTAATTTTTTTGAGACACTATTTCTATTTTGGAATAATTTTAGATTTACAGAACATTTGTAGAGATAGTACAGAGAGTACAGAGAGTTCCTGGCTATCCCTAACTCAGTTTTCCCTAATGTTAACCATCTTACATTACCATGATACATTTGTCAAAACTGAAAAACCTACCTTGGTACGTTAGTATCAACTAAACTCTGGACTGTATTTAGATTTCCCCTGTTTTTCTTTCTTCTTCTTTTTTTTTTCTCTCTCTTTTTTTGAGACAGGGTCTCATTGTGTCTCCCCAGGCTGGAGTACAGTGGCATGATCATGTCCTACTGCAACCTTGACTACCCCTGGCTCAGGTGATCCTCCTGCCTCAGCCTCCCTAGTAGCTGGGACTACAGGCACGTGCCACCATGCCTGGCTGATTTTTTTTTTTTTTTTTTTGTAGAGACTGGGTTTCACCATGTTGCCCAGGCTGGTCTGGAACTCCTGGGCTTAAGAGATCCGATCCTTCTGCCTCGGCCTTGCAAAGTACTGAGATTACAGGTGTGAACCACTGCACCCAACCCAGGTTTTCTACAATTTTTTTTTTTCTATTTCAGGATCCAATCTAGGATAACTAAATTGTGTTTAGTTGTTATACTTTCTTAGTTTCTTCTGGTCTGTGATAGTTTCTTAGTCCTTCCCCCCGCTCCCAGTAATTTGACAGCTTTGGGGAAAACTGGTCAGGTCCTCAATTTGGTTTTGTCTGCTGTTTTCCTCGTAATTAGACTGGGCTTGTGGATTTTTGGAAAAATACCTGAGGTAAAGTACCTGTCTCAGTTATATGAAATCAGTATGGACTTGAGTATTTAGTTTATATTTTGGATTAAAGTCCCACATTGATTTATTTTGTTGCTCAAGTTGTTTTATCTTTGGCCATTGAGAGCTCTTTCAGATTGGCCTTGGCCTTAGAATCTGTCATTTCTCCAGAGAATAGGGCTTGTTTCTCTGTCAGTCTGATCTTCATTCCTTTGTAAAGACTTCATTTGTGGTATCTTGATAACTTTTAGGAGCCACCCTTTTAGGAGGGGGTTTGTTAGTGCTATTACGGTTTTATTTTTTAAGAGATTATGATTAGGATGGATAGATGTTTAGTTTGCCAACCTGATCTAAACTTTTAATTTTTGCTAAACAGAATTTGTAGCATTTAGAGCTATATGCTTTAGAATTTTTCATTGTATGATGTTTAACATACAGAAAAAATATGAATGTAAAACATCTAAGTTATGAGGCATAATAATAAACATTTGCAAGCTTATTAGTTGTCTTGAAAACTAGAGCATTACCAATACATTACTATTTATTTATTTGTCTGTTTCTGTCCTATCCTATCCTTTTACTACTCCACAGAGTTAGCTGTTCTCCCGAATTTTGGGTTTATCATTTCCTTCCTTTTATAAACCACATGATATATATTCCTAAATAATATATTGTTTATTTTTGCTTAATTGTGAGCTTTATAAAAATGTTAAACTGTATATAGGCTTAAGTGATTTTATTTTTTTTTGAGATGGAGTTTCGCTCTTGTTGCCCAGGCTGGAGTGTGATGGCGTGATCTTGGCTCACCGCAATCTCCGCCTCCCGGGTTCAAGTGATTCTCCTGCCTCAGCCTCCCGAGTGAGTAGCTGGGATTACAGGCATGCGCCACCATGCCTGCCTAATTTTTTGTAGTTTTAGTGGAGACGTGGTTTCTCCATGTTGGTCAGGCTGGTCTGGAACTCCTGACCTCAGGTGATCCACCAGCCTTGGCCTCCCAAAGTGCTGGGATTACAGGTGTGAGCCATGGCACCCAGCCTTGTTTTAGTTCTTTATTTTAGAAAGTTCCAAACTCATAAAAGTAGATTTGGCTGGGCATGACTCATGCCTGTAATCCTAGCACTTTGGGAGGGTGAGGTGGCCAGATCACCTGAAGTCAGGAAGTTCGAGACCAGTCTGGCCAACATGGTGAAACCCCAACTCTACTAAAAATACAAAAATTAACGAGTGTGGTGGTGTGTGCCTATAATCCCAGCTACTTGGGATACTGAGGCAGGAGAATCACTTGAACCCCAGAGGCAGAGGTTGCAGTGAGCTGAGATCGTGCCACTGCAGTCCAGCCTGGGTGGCAGACTGAGACTGTCACAACAGCAACAACAACAACAGCAACAACAAAAATGTAGATTAATCCTGCTTTGTAAAAACTCTTATTTTTTTCTACTCACACACCACCACAGCAATTATCAACACAGAAAAAGAATTCTGTGGCCAAATGTGTGGGCAGTTTTCCCCACACACCAAGCAGCTGCCACCAGTTGGGTGTTCTCCAGTTCAATGCCGACACTGTCTACCTGGAGATAGTGTCAGATCCCACTGGTTGAATGCGCAGTCTCCAAGATTGCCCCCTAGCACTCATCAGTCACAAGTCTGGGCCTCAAGTGCTTCTGACCACCAGCTTCACTCATGTCAGGGTTCCCTCGGTCCTCTCTTTAGGTTTAATTTGCCAGAGTGTTTCACAGAACTCAGAGAAACTCTTTTATGTTTACTGGTTTATTCTAAAGGCGATTGCAAAGTATACAGATGAAGAGATTTGTCTGGCAAGGTAGGGGGGAAGGTGCACTGACTTTCCATATCCTCCCTGGGGTGTCACCATCCACGAACCTCCGTCCAGGTGTTCAGCTAGCCAGAAGCTCTCCAAATCCAGTCCTCTTGAGTTTTTATGGAAGCTTCATGATGTTAGCATTCCTTCTCCCAGAGTACAGAGTGGGAGTCTCCGTCTTTTTCTTTTGAGACACGCTTTCACTCTGTTGCCCAGCTGGAGTGCAGTGGCACCATCTTGGGTCACTGCAACCTCCACCTCCGAGTAGCTGGGATTACAGGCATGCACCACCACGCCCGGCTAATTTTTGTATTTTTAGTAGAGATGGGGTTTTACCATGTTGGTAAGGCTGGTCTCAAACTCCTGACCTCAAGTGATCCTCCCGCCTCAGCCTCCCAAAATGCTGGGATTGTAGGAGTGAGCCACCCTGCCCTGCCTGTGAGAGGGGCTTAAGACTCACAATGAGAAAGGGGTATTGGGAGAGATAGAGTTCTACCTTAGGACAGTTGAAGGGAGGGTGGGAAAAGATTTGAGAGATTCTGTTTTCTGAGGCCTGACATACCTAGCATTATAACAGAAGACTCCAGCAAGGGCTATGGGAGTTATGGGCCAGAAGCTGTAGACAGAAACGTGTGTGTGTGTGTGTGTGTGTGTGTGTGTGTGTGTGTGTGTGTGTGTGTGTGTCCCCGTCCCCGTATATGTATGTATCATAACACCATACAGCCCCAATAACTGTCAATCTTGTTTTATATACATACCCTCTGCCCAGTTATTTTAGAGCAAATCCCAGTCATATCATTTAACCTGTCAAGTTATTTTTGTATATCTCTGAAAGATCACATAAATTACTATAATAGCATTATCCTACCTATAGAAAATGAACTTATTCCTTAATATTATCAAATATTCATGTTTTCTCAATTTTTTTATTGTGTTTTCCTCATGTGTTTGGATTGGGACTCAAATAAGGTCTGTAAGTTAGTGATTGCTTGAGATGTATTCCTTAAGATCTTTTTCAGTCTGTAGGTTCTCTTTTCATCTTGCTTTTTTTGTGTTGAAGGAAACTGAATCACTTTTTCTAAAAGTTTGCTACAGTCAGGATTTTGCAGTTTAATTCACTACTATTTTAATTAGGATTTGGGTATGTATGGATAAAACATAAATAATCAGCTAGGTGTGGTGGTACATTCCTATAGTCCCAGATACTTGGGAGGCTGAGGCAGGAAGATCTTTTGGGCTCAGGAGTTTGAGGCTGCAGTGAGCAATGTTCATGCCACTTCACTCCAACCTGGGCTGTTCAGAGCAAGACCCTGTCTCTAAAAACAAGGATCAACAAAAATTAAATATGCTTTCATTTCTGGTTCTTTTTTCTCTTTTCTCTGTCAGTTTTTGGTATCAGTGTTATGCTGATCTCATACGAGAACTTGGAATTCAGCAACATTCATTCAGCAGGAGTTACTGAGCACTACTGTGGCCGGGCACTATGCTTGGTGTAATGGTGAATGAGACAGAAGTGGTATTTGTCCTCGTAGTGCATAAAGGCAAGTGGGGAAGACAGACAATAAACAAATCCTGAATAAATTGATAAGCTACAAATATATATTTGTTTCCATTTTATGTGTTGGAATAGATTAAATAAAATAGGAATAATCTGTTTCTTAAATATTTAATAGAACTTTAAAGACATCTGTTCTGACATTTATTTTAGCATACACATATTTCATAAGCATGTGAAATTACTTAAGAACCCCTTTTCTCTCCCCATAAATCTTTGACACCGTGTGAAGTTGTTCCATCCTTATATTGTTTTTCCTTTAGGCCTACAGTGTTCCCCTGGGGATTTGAGTTTTCAAGTTTTGTGAACAAGGCTGTATTATTTCTGTGGGAAAAATCATTCAGGTTTCACATGATGGAAACAGAATGATACAATCCACTGAGTTTGAAGACTCCAGGAAGAACAAAAAATTATATTTGCAATTACTTATTTCAGGTCAAATTAATAGCTTCTAGTATGATAACTTTTTTTTGTTTTAAAATTAACCAGTTAAGAGACTGGGCGTGGTGGTTCATGCCTGCAATCCCAGAGCTTTAGGAGGCCACAGTGGGTGGATCAGTTGAGGTCAGGAGTTTGAGACCAGCCTAGGCAACGTGGTGAAATCCTGTCTCTACTAAAAATACAAAAATTAGCTGGGTGTGATGGCCCACGCCTGTAATCCCAGCTACTCGGGAGGCTAAGGCACAAGAATCTTGCTGCTGCACTCCAGAGTGCAGACGACAGAGCAAGACTCTGTCTCAAGACAACAACAACAAAAAACTGACCAGTTAGTATTGTATTAGTTACTTGTAGAGGAAAATAGTATCAAATAGTAAGGATTTTCTTATAAAAAACAAAAAAAGGGTGTGGATTGTATATACTTGCTGAGTCAAGTATACTTGTCTTTCTGAGTCAAGTAAGTATACACAGTCCACACCCATTTTTTTTTTTGAAGAAAACACCCGTTTGTTTTTATGTGCCCTCAGAATTAAGATGAAGTCTTGTGCTATCTTTTTAATATGTATAAGACTAGAAAAACCAGTGAAATTCATAGTTAGAAAATAATCTATCTCTAGTCCTTTAATTCTGGAAAGAATTCCAGAGATCATTTACTCCAGTAGTAGTCTTGTTTTATGGAAGAAGCCCTAAAAGTTCTTTTTTTTTAAATTTCAGAGGTTTTTACCCATTCTACAAGTCTTTTAATTGCCTCAGGTGCTCTTGTCTTTCTTGCCTTCTGGTATGAATTGTGATATGATTTTTGGAGTTGGGAAGGAAATTATATTTTTGGTTCAATAACTTGTTGACATTATTTTTTTGCCAACCAGTCTTTATTCAGTTGCAAGAATTAAATTGATAGGTTCGTGGTCAGATTTCCTCTTGAGGACACTGCACTGAACTCTCTGAAGAAAATACTTTAAATAAATTGTAATGAATTGGTTAAGATGCTGACTTGAAATTTCTGATTGGCTAATGCTTTAATTTTTATTTTTTTTGAGACAAGTTCTCACTCTGTTACCCAGAGTGAGAGTGCAGGCTGGAGTGCAGTGGCGCCATCACTGTTCACTGCAGCTTCGACCTCCCCAGGCTCAGGTGGTCCCCTGCCTCAACCTCCTGAGTAGCTGGGACTACAGGTGTGTGCCACCACACCTGGCCAGTTTTTGTATTTTTTGTAGAGACAGGTTGTCACTATGTTGCTCAGGCTAGTCTTGAACTCCTGGGCTCAAGTGATCTTCCAGTCTCCCAAAGTGCTGGGATTACAGGCCTGAGCAGTCACACCCAGCCCTGGCTAATGCTTTGAAGTCATGACTCCCATTCTGATTTTTAACTAGTCATTACTTTCCTGTTCTTCCATTATGGTAGTCTCACAAGACTTATAATTTCAGACTTTTTATTGGTAACTACAAGAGATTATTGTTTTAGCTTTTTCATTTTAAAGATATTGTTTTGTCTAGTTGTATTCTGAAATTACATGTTAGGTATAATTATTAGTTGTACAATTAGCTATTAAATTTTCAGAAAGTTTGAAGGGAGAGAGTAAGTGAAAAGCCACTCCTGCTAAAGATTAGACACTGTACTAGATGCTTGGAGGATTAAGAGGAGACCAGAGCTAAGGGAAATCTTTGTCTGGATTTTATTGACCCATTTTGGAATTAGCTGCAGATCTTAAGAAATCAGATTGGGTTGGCAGGACGTGGTGGCTCATGTCTGTAATCTCAGCACTTTGGGAGGCTGAGGCGGGAGGATCACGAGGTCAAGAGATTGAGACCAGCCTGGCCAACATGGTGAAACCCCGTCTCTACTAAAAATACAAAAATTAGCCAGGTGTGGTGGCGGGCACCTGTAGTCCCAGCTACTCAGGAGGCTGAGACAGGAGAATGGCATGAACCCCGGAGGTGGAGGTTTCAGTGAGCCAAGATCGTGCCACTGCACTCCAGCCTGGTGACAGAGCGAGACTCCGTCTCAAAAAACAAACAAACAAAAAACAGTTTGGGTCAATAATTTGCGTTTACAGTACTAGTTTATGTACTTATTTGTCACTTTGTAATTTTTAGGGAGTTGCTTTTCAACTGTAATCTGTTTTTATTAAACTATTTGAAATGAGCTTTGTATTCAGTCACTAGTTGTGTTTCTCCCTTCCAAGTACTAACCAGGCTCAACCCTGCTTCTGAGATCAGACAAGATCAGGAGCGTTCAGGGTGGTTTGGTTGTAGACACTAATTGCTTTGCTTATAAGCCTTAAGGATACCTTACAATTAATAACTTTGGTAAAACCTCATTTGAAAAATAAGACTAAGCCTGAGCCAAACGGCAAAATCCCATCTCTACAAAAAATTAGCCGAGCATGGTGTTGGGTGCCTGTGGTCCCAGCTACTCAGGAGGCTGAGGTGGGAGGATCACTTGAGCTCGGGAGGTTGAGGCTGCAGTGAGTCAAGATTGTGCCACTGCATTCCAGCATGGGTGACAGAGTGAGACCCTGTCTCAAAAAAAAGAAAAGAAAAAAGTAAGACTAAAATCAGTTAGTGACAAAACTTATGTATTACAGCATCTTGACTTAAAAAAAAAACAAACCAAAACCCTTCATTTTCCGAGTTTTTCATAAGCCAGGTATTTTCTTAAATTTGAAGTCTTAGAAACTTAGGTTATTTTGGCTCGCTAGCTGTATGTGTAGAGTGAAAATAGTATTTCTACATTTGGTCAGTTGCATAATGTTACTATACCTTTGATCCATCTGGAATTTATCTTGGTATGCAGTGTGAAGCAAGCATCGGATTCTGCTTTTTTCTAGGTGACTACCCAGTTGTCCCATGACTTGATTTTAAAAAGCAGCTTTATTATATACCAAATGTTTATATTTTGGGTATTTTTAGGGATTTCTACTTTGTTCCACTAATCTGTATTTGTACCAGTACGACACAGCTTTCAGTATTGTATCTTCTAATATTTTAATATCTGATAGGCTAGTCTCCATTTTCTTCGGAGATTTTTTCTTTTTTTTCTGCGTTTGCTTAATTGTTATTTCTTTTTTTTTTTTTTTTTTTTGAGATGGAATTTTGCTCTTGTCGCCCAGGCTGGAGTGCAATGGTGTGAGCTCAGCTCACTGCAACCTCTGCCTCCCAGGTTTAAGTGATTCTCCTGCCTCAGCCTCTGGAGTGGGTTAGGATTACGGGCTCCCGCCACAGCTAATTTTTGTATTTTTAGTAGAGATGGGGTTTCACCATGTTGGCCAGGCTGGTCTCAAACTCCTGACCTTAGGTGATCTACCCACCTCAGCCTCCCAAAGTGCTGGGATTACAGGTGTGGGTCACCACGCCTGGCCGCTTAATTGTTATTTCTACATGAACTTTAGAATCAGCTTGTCTAATTAAAAAAAAAAAAAAAGAAAGAAAAACATGGTACTTCAGTTTTCATTTGCATCATGGCAAATTTGTATAGCAACTTAGAATTGATCTTAATAATGTTGAATATCCCGCTCAAGAGTATTGTATGTTTTTCTAATTGTCTAAGTTTTCTTTTGTGTCTTTCAGTACAGGTTTAGTTTTCTCCCTTTATGTCTTCAGTTTATTCCTAGTTCTTAACTGCTGTGGTATATTGGTATGTTGTGTGTTTCTCTTATATTTCTTTTTATTTATTTCTTTTTTTTTTTTAAAGAGATGGGATCTTGCAATGTTGCCCAGGCTGGACTCGAACTCCTGGGCTTAAGCAGTTCTCTTGTTTCAGCACATTATATTTATTATCTGGCCATGTATATATGAAGGCTGTTTCAGAGTATTAATTTGTTTCAGAATATTAATTTTGTATCCAGAAATAGTTTATCGTATTCTCTTGTCAGTTTTTGGGTTTTCCTGGGAAAGTTTCTTATCTGAGTTTTTATGCTTTTTATTTCTCCCATCTAATATGAAATAACAATGCTAAGCAATTGTGATAATAATGGATATCTTTGTCTTGTTGCTGTCCTTCGTGGGAATACTTCTGTAGTCTCCCCACTAGTCAGCATAATCTGGTATTTGGTATTAGTTTTTTGTTTTTTAAAACTCATGTAAAGGAGATAGCCATATGATTTTTCTTCTTTGAGCATTAATGCTGAATTATATCAGCAGAATTGTTAATGTTGGTGTTGGACTGTATTTATGCAAAAAATCTCACTTGGACATGGTTTATTCCTAAAATGTACTGGTAATTTTGGTTGTTACTTTTTTTTTTAATCAAGGATTTTCATATCTGTATTTATATATTCAATTTTTCCGAAGTTTTTTGGCACCAATATTATACTCATTTTGTAAATACAAATTAGACACTTTTCTATATTTTGGATCCATTAAAATCCCACTGGAGGCCGGGCACAGTGGCTTATGCCTGTAATCCCAGCACTTTGGGAGGCCGAGGCAGGCAGATCACCTGAGGTCAGGAGTTCGAGACCATCCTAGCCACCATGGTGAAACCCTGTCTCTACTAAAAATAAAAAAATTAGCCGGGCGCGGTGGCTCACGCCTGTAATCCCAGCACTTTGGGAGGCCGAGGCGGGCAGATCATGAGGTCAGGAGATTGAGACCATCCTGGTTAACACAGTGAAATCCCGTCTCTACTAAAAATACAAAAAAATTAGCCGGACGTGGTGGCGGGCGCCTGTAGTCCCAGCTACTTGGGAGGCTGAGGCAGGTCAATGGCGTGAACCTGGGAGGCGGAGTTTGCAGTGAGCCGAGATGGCACCACTGCACTCCAGCCTGGGCGACAGAGTGAGACTCTGTCTCAAAAAAAAAAAAAAAAATTAGCTGGGTGTGGTGGTGGGTACCTGTAATCCCAGCTACTCGGGAGGCTGAGGCGGGAGAATTGCTTGAGCCTGGATGGTGGAGGCTCAAGCCTGGATGGAGTGAGCCGAGATCAAGCTGGTTATTAACTCAGCTTCGTATTTTAGTTCTATTTTTTGAGGTGGAGTCTCACTCTGTTGCTCAGGCTGGAGTGCAGTGGCGTGATCTCGGCTCACCGCAACCTCCGCTTCCTGGGTTCAAGCCATTCTCCTGCCTCAGCCTCCCGTGTAGCTGGGATTACAGGCATATGCCATGAGACCTGGCTAATATTTTTTGTATTTTTAGTAGAGATGGAGTTTCACCATGTTGGCCAGGCTGGTCTCAAACTCCTGACCTCAAGTGATCTGCCTGCCTTGGCCGCCTCCCAAAGTGCTGGGATTACAGGCGTGAGCCACCACGCCTGGCCTGACTCAGCTACTTCTGATTTTGGAAATTTATCATGGTTTTCTTTGTGTCCTAATATTTACACAAGTTTTGTAACATGTTCTTTGGGTATTTTAAAAAGTGTGTCCTGCTTTCAAGATGCTTTTGATCTAACAATATAAATTAAATCTAGATTAGAGCTAAATTAGATTTGTTATCTATTTCTGCCTAGTTTTTGTTTCCTATCATTTTTGCCTTTTGAGTGGTAATGCTATGTTATTTGGGGCAATTCAGTATTGATATTCAGTGGTTTGCACTCTTTATTGTTAATAAAGTAAAACACAATGGTTTGCACTCTTTATTGTTAATAAAGTAAAACACCTGTTACGTACTCCATGAAGTCTATAACCTAGAGTCATTTGTATGCTTACTGGTCTAGAAACCACTGATTTATTCTTTGTTCTTTTTTCTCTCTCTGAAGTCGTTATCTTTCATTAGTTACCTATTTTTTTTTTTGTTTGTGTTTTTTCCAGCGCTCTGTTGAATTACATATTATTGTATTTCCTTTTAATCCTCTTATAGGTGCTTGTTGCATACCAGTTTTTTTCCCCCAATTACAAAGTATGTGTGTGTTGATCATAGATAAATGTATGCATCTATGCTCAGTACAGGAAACCTGGAAAACAGCACAAAAGGAAAAACCAAAAGGCTAAATTTGTGATCCCACCATTATAAAAATATCTTATCCTTATTTGTTTCCATATCCACATAAACATACTTCTCTCTTTTCCACAATGTCAGGGCCTATTAAATCTTGTTTCTATACGCTAGTGACTCCAATTTTCTTTTTTAATTTGCGATAAAACGGGTGCTTAGGAAAATCTGAACCAGTATTTTATTCCAGCTGAATTAAAAGAAATTGATGCATAAAGAAAAGCTTACTGGAGCTATTGAAATGTTCCTCAGTATGAATCAGGGTACTGTGACCTCTTGTTGGCCTTCCATTTTCAGCCAAGTACGCCGATGTGCAGCGGACAGTAATAAGGGGGCTAAGTTTTGCAAACACAGAGCTTGTGGACAGTGATAGATCCTGAAAGTAGTGTCTCTTGCTAATTCTCAGACTTAACCTGACTGAAAGCAAGGCCTCACAAATTGAATTCAGTCTTCACAGTTACGTTCTTAACTAACACAAAAAAATATTCTAATACTATTCTGTTCAAATAAAAATTTACGTTTTCTGGCCAGGTGCGGTGGCTCACACCTGTAATCTCAGCACTTTGGGAGGCCAAGATGGGTGGATCACCTGAGGTCAGGAGTTTGAGACCAGCCTGGCCAACATGGCAAAAACCCATCTCTACTAAATACAAAAAAATTAGCTGGGCATGGTGGTGTGTGCCTGTAGTACCAGCTACCTGGGAGGCTGAGGCAGGAGGATTGCTTGAACCTGGGAGGCAGAGGGTTGCAGTGAGCCGAGATTGTGTCACCACACTCCAGCCTGAGTGACAGAGGGAGACTCCATCTTTAAAAAAAAAAAAAATTTTTTTTTTTTACATGTTTTCTATAGGTATACTAGTTTACTGGTAGAGTGGTTGGAAATGTTTTGCCTTTTTGAAAGTTATATTTAATTCACCAACCTTTTTTTTTCTTTAAACACATCGTTGCTGGTTTGAATAATTTGTCAACCTTTGTGGAGCTCTTTCTGCATGTCAGGCAGTATATAAAAGTATCTTTTGTTAATTTTTATAATAAGAATCATTTGAGATTACTTTATATGTGGTATAGGGGAATGGTTTCCAGGCTTGGGTTTTATGGATCAGTAAGAAAAAAAATGGGATGATGAACATATGATTGCTAGCTTTTAATTTTGTCAATATAGACATTGGTATCATTTATCTTGAATACTCAATATTTAATTTGGAAACATGAATATTTTTCCTTCATTTATTCTCTCATTATAGATTTATGGTCTATCTAGAGTTGGCTGGTTATTCAGTCTACTACCTTTATTTTACTGATGAGGGAGCTGAGGCTCCAAAATGCCTTTGAGACCCCAGAGAGAAGACAGAAAACTTCTTTCTCATGAATATATTATAGCCTAATATTGACATGTTACTAGCAGTTACAAACATAAATGTTGCTATGACTTGTATGGGAGTTAATTTTTCTTCAGGCTTGAAATGTGATGATTCCCAAAGCCATCTTTTTGTGTAAATTAGATAATTTCCTGGATTAATTTGTATCTTGGGAAATTACTGATTGCAGCTATTATTTTAGAAGTGTGACTGATAGCTTACTGAGATTCTGAGTTGCTATTTTGTTTTGGGAAGCATTTTTAGAGAGTATTATAATAATTTGACAGATATGCAAAAGGAAAGGAAGTGAAAATGAGAGAACATTAATACAGTTGCCCTTGGGCTTTCTCCTCCCCTTCTCAGAGGGCCTGGTCCTTCGCAAGGTGTTTTTTATTATTACTTTTTAAAAATTTCCTGGTCTCCTATCCCTGCCTCCTTCAACTTTTCCTTTTCCCATTTCTTCCCATTCCTTAACCCATCTCTTCTTCTTTCATTCTGGCTCCTCCTTCTCTCCCTGCATTTCTCTTGTTACCTGTTTCCCCATCTCTTTTTATTCTTAGATTTATTCTTTGTTCTTTTTTCTGATGTCTTTAACCAGTAATTCAGATTTTAAGTTACCGGGTTTTCTTCCTGTAGCATTTGAACTGAAGTGATACTGAGCTGGAAAAATAGAATATCACTGATAAGTTGTTGGTTTTGGGATTTCTAAGTTTTATTAGTGTAAAAGTTCTTGAATTATGAATGTGTGTTCCAATCCATACCACCAGCTAAAAAAGAAAAAGAATATGTTTTATTGTTATTTTTGATTGATACTTTCCCTTTAATAGAAGCATATACTTATTTTAGTGGAAATTTATGATTGATTATAAATTTTTTTCCCTGTGATTAATTATAGCTTTACATTAGTGGCAAACATTTCTTTCAGTCTTGTTTTGTGCACATTTTTTACATAAGGCAATTTAATTTAATTTATTAAAACATTTTAAAATTTATAATTATTGGCCAGGAATGGTGGCTTATACCTGTAATCCTAGCACTTTGGGAGGCCAAGGCAGGAGGATAGCTTGAGTTCAGAAGTTCAAAACCAGCCTGGTTAACATAGTGAGACCTCATTTCTATTAAAACACACACACACACACACACACACACACACACACTTATAGTTATTTTCTATTTATTATATGCTTTTTAAAAATAAAATAATTTTTTTAGTTCCATGTCTACTCCTATGTTATGTGCCTTTAGTAGACACTCTTAGTGCCATCACAACGTTATCTTCTGGATTTTCCATTATTTAATCATTTTTCCATAATTGAGTATTTAGATAATAGGAGAGTATTGTAAAATAAATGGGTTTAGGGAAAATACAACCCTCCTAGCTTAAATCAGGAGGAATTGGATACCCTGAACAGACCAATAACAAGCAGCAAGATTGAAATGGTAATTTAAAAATTACCAACAAAAAAGTCCAGGACCAGATGGCTTCACAGCAGAATTCTACCAGACATTCAAAGAAGAGTTGGTACCAATCCTTCTGACACTATTCCACAAGATAAAGAAGGAACCATGCCTAATTCATTGTATAAAGCCAGCATCACCCTACCAAAACCAGGAAAGGACATAACCAAAAAAGAAAACTACAGACTAATATCCTTGATGAACATAGATGCTAAAATCCTTAACAAAATACTAGCTAACCAAATCTAGCAACATATCAAAAAGATAATCCACCATGATCAAGTGGGTTTCATACCAGGGATGCAGGGATGGTTTAACATATTTAAGTCAATAAATGTGATACACCACATAAACAGAATTAAAAACAAAAGTCACATGATCATCTCAATAGATGCAGAAAAAGCATTTGACAAAATCCAGCATCCCTTTATGATTAGAACTCTCAGCAAAATCAGCATACGAGGGACATACCTCAATGTAATGAAAGCCATCTCTGGGCCAGGTGCAGTGGCTCACATCACACCTGTAATCCCAGCACTTTGGGAGGCCGAGGCAGGTGGATTACCTGAGGTCAGGAGTTTGAGACCAGCCTGGCCAACATGGTGAAACCCCGTCTCATCTAAAAATACAAAAATTAGCTCGGCATGGTGGCAGGCGCTTGCAATCCCAGCTACTCAGGAGACTGAGACAGGAGAATCGCTTGAACCCAGGAGGTGGAAGTTGCAGTGAGCCGAGATCGCACCATTGCACTCCAGCATGGGCGACAGAGCGAGACTCTGTCTCAAAAACAAAAACAAAAAAACCCAACCATCTATGACACACCTACAGCCAACCTAATACTGAATGGGGAAAAGTGGAAAGCATTACCTGTGAGAACTAGAACAAGACAAGGATGCCTGTTCTCACCACTCCTCTTCAACATAGTACTGGAAGTCCTAGCCAGAACATTCAGACAAGGGAAAGAAAGAAAGGGCATCCAAACTGGTAAAGAGGAAGTCAAACTGTCACTGTTTGCTGACAATATGATCGTTTACCTTGAAAACCCTAAAGCCTCCTCCAGAAAGCTCCTAGAACTGATAAAAGAATTCAGCAAAGTTTCTGGATACAAGATTAATGTACACAAATCAGAAGCTCTTCTATACACCAACAGTGACCAAGCAGAGAATCAAATAAAAAACTCAACCCCTTTTACAACAGCTGCAAAAAAAAAAAATACTTAGGAATATACCTAACTAAGGAGTCAAAAGACCTCTACAAGGAAAACTACAAAACACTGCTGAAAGAAATCATAGATGGCACAAACAAATGGAAGCACATCCCATGCTCATGGATGGGTAGAATCAATATTGTGAAAATGACCATACTGCCAAAAGCAATCTACAAATTCAATGTAATCCCCATCAAAATACCACCATCATTCTTCACAGAATTAGAAACAACATTTCTAAAATTCATATGGAACAAAAAAAGAACCTGCATAGCCAAAGCAAGACTAAGCAAAGAGAACAAATCTGGAGGCATCACACTACCTGATTTCAAACTATACTATAAGGCCATAGTCACCAAAACAGCACGGTACTGGTATAAAAATAGGCACACAGACCAATGGAACAGAATAGAGAACCCAGAAATAAACCCAAATACTTACAGCCAATTGATCTTCGACAAAGCAAACAAAAACATAAAGTGGGGAAAGGATACCCTTTTTAACAATAGCACTGGGATAATTGGCTGGCCATATGTAGGACAATGAAACTGGATCCTATACAAGATAGATTAAGGACTTAACGACCTGAAGCTATAAAAAATTCTAGAAGGTATCATTGGAAAAACCCTTCTAGACATTGGCTTAGGCGAGGATTTCATGACCAAGAACCCAAAAGCAAATGCAATAAAAACAAAGATAAATAGCTGGGACCCAATTAAGCTAAAGAGCTTTTGCACAGTAAAAGGAATAGTCAGCAGAGTAAACAGACAACCCACAGAGTGGGAGAAAATCTTCATAATGTATACATCTGACAAAGGACTGATATCCAGAATCTACAACCAACTCAGTAAGAAAAAAACAATCCCATCAAAAAGTGGGCTAAGGACATGAATAGACAGTTCTCAAAAGAGGATATACAGATGGCCAACAAACATGAAAAATGCCCAACATCACTAATGATCAGGGAAGTGCACATCAAAACCACAATGTGATACCACCTTACTCCTGCAAGAATGGCCATAATAAAAAAATAAAAAAACAGTAGATGTTGGCGTGGATGCAGTGATCAGGCAACACATTTACACTGCTGTGGGAATGTAAACTAGTACAGCCACTCTGGAAAACAGTGTGGAGATTCCTTAAAGAACTAAGAGTAGAACTACCATTTGATCCAGCAGTCCCACTACTGGATATCTACCCAGAGGAAAAGAAGTCATTTGAAAAAGATGCTTGCACATGTATGTTTATAGCAGCACAATTCACAAGTGTAAAATCATGGAAGCAACCCAAATGCCTATCAACGAATGGATAAACTGCTGTGTGTATATATGTATATATGATAGTGTGTGTGTGTGTATATATATGTATATAAGTATGTATATATGTGTCATATATATATATATATGATGGAATACTGCTCAGCTGTAAAAAGGAATGAATTAGCATTTGCAGTGACTTGGATGAGATTGGAGACTGTTCTAAGTAAAGTAACTCAGGAATGGAAAACCAAACATCTAATGTTCTCACTGATAGGTGAAAGCTAAGCTATGAGGACGCAAAGGCATAAGAATGATACAGTGGACTTTGGTGACCTGGGGGGAAGGGTTGGAGGGGGGTGAGGGATAAAAGACCACAAATAGGGTGCAGCGTATACTGCTCGGGTGATGGGTGCACCGAAATCTCACAAATCACCACTAAGGAACTTATGTAACTGAATACCACCTGTACCCCAATAACTTATGGAAAAATAAATAATAAAAAAAGGGTTTAAAAAAGTATAGGAAGTTATTGGTGAAACGTGTGTACATATATATATGTACACACACACACACACATACATGTATGTACATATATATAAAAGATGTTCTGGGGGAAGAAAACTGACCCTAAATAGGTATTAAAATGCCTTTGAGCTTTGAGAGACTGAAGTTTTGCTGCATAGTGGACCTTAGAAAAATCTTTATGTGCCCAAATATAGATTTCTCATATTCTTAAGGACTGTGGAAAATAATATATAATATGGGAAAAAAATATTTTATCAGCTCTATTGAGGCATGATTTAAAAAATTTTACATTATTTACTAATAAAGAGAACTGTATTTTATTTTTCATTTACTATTCCTTGTGGTCTTCTATCTAGTTGTTCACTGCCTCATTGCCTCTCTGATTTTCAAACTTGGAAGTTATTGACACGCGTCTTTCTGGCCCTCTCCTCTGGAGCACCTCTCTGCTGCCAATTTTTTTCTGCCATTTTTTTTTTTGTAATTTAATTTAAAAAAAAACTTACTGAGGTGAAATTCACATAGCATGAAATTAACCATGTTAAAATGATCAATTTAGTGGCATTTAGTACTCTCATAGTGTTGTGTAATCACCATATCTGGTTCTGAAACCTTTCCTTCACTCCAAAGGAGACCCTTACCAACTACACAGTTTCTCTTTCCCAGACCCAGGCAACCGCCAGTCTGCTTTCAGTCTCTTTGGATTTTCCCTTTCTGGACACCTCATATGAATGGCATCACACAATATTTGTGAACTTTTATGTCTTCTTTTTTTTATTTTAAATTTTTTTTAGAGCTGGGGTCTCACTCTGTTGCCCAGGCTGCAGTGCAGTGGTGCGATCATAGCTCACTGCAGCCTTTTACCACCTGGACTCAAGTGAACCTGATTAGCTGGGACTACAGGCATGCACCACCACACCATGCTAATTTTTTTTTTTTTTTTTTTTTTTTTTTTGAGACTGGCTCTCTTGCCCAAGCTGGAGTGCAGTGGCTTAATCATGGCTCACGGCAACCTTTGCCTCCTGGGCTCAAGCCATCCTCCCACCTCAGCCTCCCAAGTAGCTGGGACTACAGGTGCGTACCACCATGCTCGGCTAATGTTTGTATGTTTAGTAGAGATGGGGTTTGGCCATATTACCCAGGGTGGTCTCAAACTCCTGAGCTCTAGTTAATTTTGAAATATAGAATATATTATTGTTAACTGTAGTCACCTTACTGTACAATAGAATACCAGAACTTATTCTTCCTATGTGATGGTAACTTTAATCATTCATCAACTTCTCCCCATCCCACTCCCTGCCCTTCCCTTTACTACCCTCCCCACCTCTCCGGCCTCTGGTAATTACTATTATACTCTCTACTCTTTTGGGAAGGGTGTTTGCTATTTATTTATGATAAATATTCCACATCTGTGATTCTCCACAGTCAGAAGTTCTTTGAGAGGATGCCATCAGCCTTGGTCAGTCAGAGAATGGAGTCATCTGATTTACCATCCTGTGAATGGCCCTAGGCAGATAGCATAGGTGATTGTTGTTACTGTTTTGAGACAGAATCTCTGTTGCCCAAGCTGGAGTGCAGTGGCATGATCTCAGCTCACTGCAGCCTCTGCCTCCTGGGTTCAAGTGATTCTTCTGCCTCAGCCTCCCAAGTAGTTGAGACTACAGGCATGTGCCACCATGCCCGGCTAATTTTTGTATTTTTGTAGATACTGGGTTTCACCATGTTGGCCAGGCTGGTCTCGAATTCCTGACCTCAGGTGATCTGCCTTCTTCGGCTTCTCAAAGTTCTAAGATTACAGTCGTGAGCCACCGTGCCTGGCTGGTGGCGGTGGTGGTTTTTTTAATTTTTTTAATTTTTGTTTTTTCAACTTTTATTTTGATTCGGGGGCACATGTGCGGTTTGTTACCTGAGTAACAAAAAAAAAAGCCTCTGCCTTTATGAGATAAACTTTTTTATATTCTGTATGAGTAAGATCATACAAAATTTGTCTTTCTGTGTCTGGCTTGTTTCAGTTAACACAAAGTCCTGCAGATTCATTCACATTGTCATAAATGACAGGATTTCGTTCTTTTTTTTTTTTTTTTTTTTTTTTTTTTTTGAGACAGACAGTCTTGCTGAGTTGCCCAGGCTGGAGTGCAGTGGCACCATCTCGGCTCACTGCAACCTCCGTCTCCCAGCCTCAAGTGATTCTCATGCTGGATTTCATTCATTTTTTTATGGTGAACAGTTGAGCCTTTTAAAAAAGCCAAGCATCTGGCTGGGTGCAGTAGCTCGCGTCTGTGATCCCAGCACTTTGGGAGGCCGAGGCGGGTGGATCACAAGGTCAAGAGATCCAGATTATCCTGGCCAACATGGTGAAACCCCGTCTCTACTAAAAATACAAAAAATTAGCCAGGCGTGGTGGCGGGGGCCTGTAGTCCCAGCTACTCCGGAGGCTGAGGCAGGAGAATGGCTTGAACCCGGGAGGCGGTGGTTGCAGTGAGCCGAGATCATGCCACTGCACTCCAGCCTGGTGACAGAGCGAGACTCCATCTCAAAAAAAAAAAAAAAAAAAAAAAAAAAAAAAAAAAAAAAAAAAAGCCAAGCACATCCATTTAAATTTTGGTGGAACTTCTTTATAACATTCCTGGTGTCAGCATATTCTAGGTGTTGTTTGGAAAATTATTTATTAAATCAAAGACTCAGCCTCTCTCAAGTTCTTTACCTCAACAACAGTTGCTTCTTCAAACAGCTGATATCACACAATTTTTATTGTGGTTATAGAAATGAAACACTAATTTTCTGCATATGTCTGTGAGCATATTCACAACTCATTGCTGGAAGTTTAGATACCGCTACTTTCCCAATTTAGGAAAACAGATTTCTGGTATGTGCCTACGTGGGAAGGTTGAGGCTGCTAAGAGTCTTGCTTCTGGGTTTTAGAAGTCTCACTGTGAGACCGGGTGCAGTGGCTCATGCCTGTAATTGCAGCACTTTGGGAGGCTGGGGTGAGTGGATCACTTGAGCCCAGGAGTTTAAGACCAGCCTATCCAACATGGCAAAACCCCGTTTCTACTAAAAATACAAAATAATTAGCCGGGTGTGATGGCACACTCCTGTAATCCCAGCTACTCAGGGAAGCTGAGGCATGAGAATTGTTTGAACCTGGGAGGCAGAGGTTGCAATAAAGATTGTGCCACTGCACTCCAGCCTGGGTGACAGCAAGATGCCTGTGAATGTTTTCTGCACATATAAAAAGGTTAAATCATTTTCAGTATGGTTTGCTGGTTCTTTGAAAATTGATAATACATACACTTTATAAATTTAATTCTCCATGAACTACAATATCAAACAGAATACACTCTATCTCTACACCATGCTGAAAAATGGAAACTTTTTTTTTTTCTTTTTGGTAACAGGATCTTGCTGTGTCGCCTAGGCTGGAGTGCAGTGGCACAATCACTGGTCACTGCAGCCTTGACTTCCTGGGCTCAGGTGATTCTCCTACCTCAGCCTCCCGAGTAGCAGGGACTACAGGCATGCAACACCACACCGGCAAATTTTTTGTATCTTTGTAGAGATGAGGTTTCACCATGTTGCCCAGGCTGGTCTTCGAACTCCTGGGCTCAAGTAATCCACCTGCCTCAGCCTTCCAAAATGTGGGATTACATGTGTAAGTCACCACGCCTGGCTGAAAACAGAAACTTTTCAAGAAAAGTTTTAAAAGAAACTACCAAATTAATAGATGTTACCATATAACGTTCAGAAATACAAATATTTTATGAATTATTTCCAGTCCTATTACTTGGAGGCAACCATTGTAAATATTTTTTATGTACAAGTTGAGTATCCCTCATCTAAATCCTTGGCACCAGAAGTGTTTCAGATTTCAGATTTTCTAACTTTTTGCCTCATACTTATTGGTTCAGCATCCCTAATCTGAAAAAAATGCCCCTGTGAACATTGAGTTTTGTCTTGTCTCCCTCCCCTCCCCTCCTTTCCTCTCCTCTCCTCTCCCCTCCCTTCCCCTCCCCTCCCCCTCCCCCTTCCCCTCCCCTCCCCTCCCCTCTCCCCTCCCTTCTCCTCTCCCCTTTCCCATCTCCACTTTCCCCTCTCCCCTCCCCCTTCCCTCTCCCTTCCCCTTCCCCTCCCCCTTCCCTCTCCCTTCCCCTCCCCCTTCCCTCTCCCTTCCCCTCCCCTCTCCCTTCCCACCTCCCCCCTCTCCCCTCCCCTCCCCTCCCTTCTCCCCTCTCCCCTCTCCCCTCCCCTCCCCCTTCCCTCTCCCTTCCCCTCTGCTCCCCTCCCACCTCCCCCTACCCCTCCCCCTCCCCTCCTCTCCCCTCCCCTTCCCCTCCCCTCCCCCTCCCCTCTCCCCTCTCCCCTCCCCTTCCCTCCCCCTCCCCTCCCCTCTTCCCTCCCCCTCCCCTCCCCTCCCCTCCCCTCCCCTTTCCTCTCCTGCCCTCTCCTCTCTTTTCTTAGACAGGGTCTTGTGCTGTTGCACAGGCTAGAGTTCAGTGGCACCTTCTTAACTCACTGCAGCCTCAAATCCTGAGCTTAAGTGATCATCTCACATCAGCCTCCCAAGTAGCTAGGACAATAGGCATGCGTCACCACGCCCAGCGAATTTTTGATTTTCATTAATTAATTATTTTTGTGTGTGAGACAGGGTCTCGCTCTGTTGCCCAGGCTGTAGTGCAGTGGCTCACTGCAACCTCAATCTCCCGGGCACAAGCGATCCTCCCATCTCAGCCTCCCAAGTAGCTGGGACTACAGGTGTATGCCAACACACCCAGCTAATTTTTTCAATTTTTTATAGGGACAGGGTCTCCCTATGTTGCCCAGGCTGGTCTCGAACTCCTGTGCTCAAGTGATCCTCCCAGCTCGGCCTCACAAAGTACTGGGATATAGGAGTGAGCCACCAAGCCTGGCCTCGGCTAATTTTTAATTTTTTTAATATAGAGATGGGGTCTCACTATGTTGCTGGTCTCAAATTCTTGAGCTCAAGTGATCCTCCCACCTCTGCCGCCCAAAGCACTGGGATTACAGGCATGAGCCACAGTGCCTGGATCTTTTTTTTGGACTTTGGGAGTGAGACGTGAGGATTCTGTCAGCCCTAAAACCTTAGGTCTTCTGGTTTCTTTTTTGTACTCTCAATTTTCTTCGTACTACCTTCAAGGTATAATGTGCCTAAGAAATATTTCCTTGTTTTTCAGGTTCTAAATGGCTTCTAAGAAGTTGGGTGCAGATTTTCATGGTAAGTGGACTATTAGAATCATGGTTTAAGTTATGATTTGATCAGAGGATTTGGAATCACTTAGCATAGTTTTAAGTACAAGTGCCCCTTTTTGTCTCTTTTAATGAACAGCTTGACAAAAATAAAGTTGTACAACAATGTATCAAGTATATCTGAAAGGTCTTCAGAGAACTTGAAGTATTTCTTCAAATGGGTAGTTAAACTTTAGAGTGTCTCTGGTTATTGTACTTGAAACTACTAGTGATAGATTAGGAGTCTGCCTGTTCTGGTTCTTCAGCAGCATTGAAGGTATAGTTACTGGCTGGGCGCGGTGGTTCAAGCCTGTAATCCCAACACTTTGGGAGGCTGAGGCGGGTGGATCACGAGGTCAGGAGATCGAGACCATCCTGTCTAACACGGTGAAACCCCGTCTCTACTAAAAATACAAAAAATTAGCCGGGCGTGTTGGCGGGCGCCTGTAGTCCTAGCTACTCGGGAGGCTGAGGGCAGAAGAATGGCGTGAACCCGGGAGGCGGAGCTTGCAGTGAGCCGAGATCGCACCACTGCACTCCAGCCTGGGGGACAGAGCGAGACTCCATTAAAAAAAAAAAAAAAAAGGTATAGTTACCTTTCCCTTTCCTGTTCCTTGGTCATAGCTCTTCTCCATATGTGTGTGTGTGAAAAATTCTAACCCTTTGGTTAATGCTTTATAATGTTTTAGTTTAGTTCCCTGTGCCCCATCAAAGGAAGTAATTTACTACAAATCAATCACTATATTACAGAGGTATCAATACTGATATTTATAATTTTGAATTTGAAATTAAGAGTTTCTCTGTCATCTTTTCCTAAGATACAACCTTCCAAAATGGAATACAATAATAAACTACTATCTGCCTTTGGAGGGGAATGGAGGGAGGTGGAGGTAGCTAAGAAGTTAAAATTATACCCTTTTTTCATACAGTAGAAGGTAAGAATTTAAAACCAGAAGTAGCCAAGTAACACAATTATTTTAAGAGAGGTTTTAAAGCCAATCTTCCATGTTAAAAATTATATCAGCCAGGCACAGTGGCATGTGCCTGCAGTCCCAGCTACTCAGGGGGCTAAGGTGGGAGGATTGCTTGATCCCAGAAGTTTGAAGTTGCAGTGATCATGCCACTGCACTCCAGCCTGGGTGACAGAGTGAGACCCTGACTCAAACAAAAAAAATACATATATATATCACATCATTTTAAGAATGATTTACTAGACTGCCTGGGGACGTGTTGGTATGCTCTTCTGAGCTGCCAGTGGTTGCTTGATAAGATCACTCAGCTGAGTCAGAGTGGTGTAGCGGTGATTGTGATTTTACTTGCTTATATATTTTACACAACAGCCTTTGAATTTTGATTTGTCAGTGTGCATATACTTACATAGATAACCTGCCTGAGTTTTTAAAAATCCTTTTGAAGTTATTCAAACTCTGGAATTAGCATTCCTTAAAGAGGTCAGGCATCTTATTTTTCAGGTGAGCTATTTCCTATTATTTATGGATTATTACAGGTCTTCTTAAAAGTATTCAAATGATAGTAGAAAGGCAGATCTGGGCAGGGCACGGTGGCTCATGCCTGTAATCCCAACAGTAGATTAGGAGGTTGAGGTGAGAGGATCGCTTGAGGCCAGGAGTTCAAGACCAGCCTCAGCAACATAGTGAGACGCTGTCTCTACAAAAAAATTTTAAAAATTAGCTGGGTATGCTGGTATGTGCCTGTAGTCTCAGCTACTCGGGAGGCTGAGAGGTGGGAGTAGTGCTGAGCCCGGGAGGTCAAGGCTGCAGTGAGCCATGATCACGCCACTGCACTCCAGCCAGAATCACATGAGAGCCTGTCTCAAACAAACAAACAAAAAATGATTCTTGCCACTGAGCTTAAGAAAAGAAAAAGGGAAAAAAAGGCAGATCTGAATTCCCTCTAGATCCTACCTTTTCAAGGGAGAAAAGAGAGGACAGAGCCAAGGGCAGAGGAAAAGCTTAGGGAGAGAAAATAGCAAAAATGAAAAATTTACACTTATTTCAAAAGATAGACTTTCTGTTTTGAATCTTTGGAACATCTGTTTTGATCAGACTGAAAATAGTTGGACCACATGTTTTGTGTTTCAACTGAACATTCCAGAGAGAAGATTATAATTCTGAAGGTGTCTGTTCATAAAGACTGGTATTTCCCATATCTCCTTAAATTCCTAACCAGGCTGGGCATGGTGGCTCACGCCTGTAATCCCAGCACTTTGGGAGGCCGAGGCGGGCGGATCACCTGAGGTCAGGAGTTCAAGACCAGCCTGACCAACATGGAGAAACCCTGTCTCTATTAAAAATACAAAATTAGCCGGGTGTAGTGACGCATGCCTGTAATCCCAGCTACTCGGGAGGCTGAGGAAGGAGAATCGCTTGAACCTGGGAGGCAGAGGTTGCAGTGAACTGAGATGGTGCCAATGCACTCCATTCCATCTCAAAAAAAAAAAAAAAAGAATTCTTAACCAAAGTGTTATTTTGTTTGTTTGTTTGTTTGTTTTTGAGACAGAGTCTCGCTCTGTCGCCCAGGCTGGAGTGCAGTAGCACGATCTTGGCTCACTGCAAGCTCTGCCTCCTGGGCTCACGCCATTCTCTGCCTTAGCCTCCCGAGTAGCTGGGACTACAGGTGCCTGCCACCATGCCCAGCTAATTTTTTTGTATTTTTTAGTAGAGGCGGGGTTTTACCGTATTAGCCAGGATGGTCTCGATCTCCTGACCTCGTGATCCGCCTGCCTTGGCCTCCCAAAGTGTTGGGGTTACAGGCGTGAGCCACCGTGCCCGGCCCAAAGTGTTATTGTTTAAATGAAACTTTCTACCTGAGTAAAATTTAGGAGAAAAATTTTCTTTCTCCCTTAGGCTGCTTCTCCTTTAACAGGGCTCTTTTTGCTGAGTTCCTGGTTGAATTTCACTGGCTTTACTTGTTTTTTTTGTTTTTGTTTTTTTGTTTTTTGGGTTTTTTTTGGGAACAAAACAATAAACACCTTCATTACATGGGTGAAGACAAAACGAGGATTTATTTGCCTTTCCGGACCTTGATTTTCCTAAGATAGAACTCCAACTCCTTCCCCTCTAGCACATAGCCGTCTGTTTGGCCACACTGTCCCGGCCTTGAAGTGATGCACGCAAGAAGCTTGCCCTGCTGGAACTGCTCCTCCAGGAGACTGCTGATTTTGGCCTTTTTTTTTCCTTTCATCGATTTCTTCTGAAATTTTTTAGATCATTTTTTGTTTAAAATCTCTTCTTCCTCAGGAGTCAGCTTGTCTCCTTTCTTGTGGCCCAGGGGTAGCGCATAGTGGGACTCGTACCACTGTCCATACGGTGTGCTGTCGATGAGTATGGTGTGCTGTCAATGAGCATGAAGCAATTCTTCACCAGGGTCTTGTTATGGACCAGCTCGTTATTAAACGCATTGTAGACAACATCGATGATCCTTGTTTTGCAAATACAACGCTGAGCCCCAGGAGAAATTCCCTACATGCAGCCTTAGGGCACGGTATTTCTTGTTACCTCCTCAAACATGGACTGTGTGGACGTGGCAGGGGCCAATGTTGGTGTTGGCAGCTGGGCACCCCTGCTCATACTTCCGCTTCTTGTGGTAGGGCTTTCTCTTGCCCCCGGTCTTGCGGTGCTTGTGTCAGTTCTCCCGAGAGATGCCCATTGCTCGGCGCTGGCTGGAAAGAGCTAGTTGGGTTTTTAGAGTAAAGTATCCTATTTTTAGATATCAGGTAGTTTAAATAATAGAAATGAAAGGCAGTAGATGGAGAATATTTAATAGGCAATTGTGCAGGCATGTGAGTACAGAAAATAAAGTTTCTGCTCTCTCAAGGCTAAAATTAGAAAGCCAGGAACTAAGGCTACTCCTTCCACTTCTCAGGAAGCTGCTTAGCCTTTCTTCACTATATGTCTCTGTGTCTGTGATCCATTATTATTCAGTTCATAGACTTGCTTTCTTGGCCTAATAGTGTAGAGTACACAGGGCTATAAATGGCCACCCCAGTTAAGGTGCTGCTTGCTACTTGATCTTTCAGTTTCAGTGGCTAGCATCATAGAGATAGAGATTTTATATCTTTTGGTCAAGGCAAACTGATGGCATAGCCTTCTTAGCTTATGAGCCTGTGGATTGGTCCTCCAAAGTTAGATATCTGACTGATCCATTGAGAGGTTAATGGATGTGGGTAACTTTTCTGTGGCACTTGGGGTGTGGACAAGGAGGTAATAACTGCTGTCATGACGGATATTAAAATGTATTTTTTTTTCTTTTTAATATTTGGGACTGACTAGGTCTGGTGCTGTGCTGTCTTTGACTAGCACTTGATTTACCTCTGAGTTCATTATTTTCAACTAAAGTTGAACAACTTCACTGTTACTAGTGACCATATATCCCTAAATAACAGAATAAGGGAAACAAACAGTTATTTCTCAAACTTCTAGAAATATTATCCATTTCTTATAAAAACTCCATACCCTTCGCTTAGTTTGGATAAGGACTTTCTTGGAGCCTGGTGCTTTAAAATCTCAATCCTCTGGCTGGGCGCGGTGGCTCATGCCTGTAATCACAGCACTTTGGGAGGTTGAGGCAGGCGGATCATGAGGTCAGGAGATCCAGACCATCCTGGCTAACATGGTGAAACCCTGTCTCTACTAAAAATACAAAAAAAAATTAGCCGAGCATGGTGGCTGGTGCCTGTAGTCCCAGCTACTTGGGAGGCTGAGGCAGGAGAATGGCGTGAACCCAGGAGGAAGAGCTTGCAGTGAGCCGAGATCACACCACTGCACTCCAGCCTGGGTGACAGAGCAAGACGCCATCTTAAAAAAAAAAAAAAAAGAAAAGAAAAAAGAAATCTCAATCCTCTTTCACTGATTCTTATTTTCATCTAGGAGAAAGGTTATTTATCTGGAAAATGTGTTGAGACTCTAATTTATGAAAAAATAGACCCCGTGATAAGATTTGATAAAACTAGCCCCCCTCCTTAAATCACTTTATCGAGGTATAATTGATATATAAAAAGCTGTACATATTTACATGTTTAATGTATACATCTTGATGAGTTTGAGGATAAGTATACACTCATGAAACCATCACCATCATTAAGGCATAAACATTCATTACCTTCTAAAGTTTCCTCCTACTCTATTGTGTGTGTGTGTGTGTGTGTGTGTGTGTGTGTGTGTGTGTGTGTGTGTGTGGTGGGCTGGAGGGATTGCTTGAGGCCAGGAGTTTGAGACCAGCCTGGGCAACATAGAAAAACCCCGTTTCTTGTTTTTTTTTTTTTTTTTGAGATGGAGTCCCGCTCTGTCGCCCATGCTGGAGTGCAGTGGTGCCATCTCTGCTCACTGCAACCTCTGCCTCCTCAAGCAATTGCTCAAGCAATTCTCCTGTCTCAGCCCCCTGAGTAGCTGGGATTATAGGTGCGCACCACCATGCCTGGCTAATTTTTGTATTTTTAGTAGAGACAGGGTTTCGCCATGTTGGCCAGGCTGGTTTTGAACTCTTGACCTCAGGTGATCCACCTGCGTCTGCGTCCCAAAGTTCTGGGATTACAGGCATGAGCCACCGCGCCTGGCCTTGTTTCTACAAAAAATTAAAAATTAGCCAGGTGTGGTGGAGCTTCTCTATAGTCCTAGCTGCTCAGGAGCCTGGGACAGGAGGATTGCTTAAGCCTGGGAGTTCAAGGTTATAGTGAGCTATGATCACATATGCATTAGGTTGTTTGGTATTGTTCCAGATATCTCTTAACACTGTTCAATTTTTTTTTTCCCTTTTTCTCTCTTTGTATTTCAGTTTGGCTAATTTCTTTTGACCTAACTTCAAGTCCCAAGTCTTTCTTATGCTGATTATTGTCTTCGGATTAGCATAGCCTGGTTTATGAACCATCAAAATTTTTCTTTTCTGATAATGCATTTTTCACTTGTGGCATTTCCATTTGTCTCTTTATATTTCCATCTCTCTGCTGAAGTTCCCATCTGCTCACACATGTTTAGTTTTTCCATTAGACCCTTTAACATATTTATTATTGTTATTTTAAAGCTCCCTGTCTGATGTTTACAATATCTTGGCTCTCCCTGAATTTGGGTCTGATGACTGGTTCCTCTCTTAATTCTGGATCACATTTTCTTGCTTCTTTCTGTGTCTTATAATTTTTAATTGAATGCCAGACAATGTATATTAAAAAGCTGATTTTGTAGATTATATGGCTTGTTTTGTTGTTAGGATATGAGTAACATTTTCTTGTGATTTCACATCTTACAACAGATATCTATGTTATTTTGTATATTTATGATTTTGCCAGTGTTACCTGGCTTGTGGCTTTAAGATAGTTTTTTTTGTTTTATTTATTTATTTATTTATTTTTAAGTCCTTTGCTGCAGGAGGCGCTGATGGCTTTAAGATGGTGATAACCAGTCATGGAATTACAGATTTTCACTTAATTTTAAGTTTGATCTTCTTTTTAAAAAAACCTCAATTTGAATCTCCTCACAATAATACCTGAATTAAATATTATGCATTTGCTATCCTCTATTGGGGATTTCTCCCCCCACCTGGAATTGTACTTTTTTTAGAAAAAACGGGCAGATTGCAGAATCATAGGCATATCAGCAATTTAGAAAGAAACAAAGCAAATGAAGTCTTCCCAGAGTTTATCCTGAGTCATTACATATTCAGCCCACTCACTATCTTCCACCAAAGTGGTATGCAGAACCTAACTTCAAGGAACTGCCACAACCGCAGCCATGAGGCATGCACTTAGTGGCTATTTAAAAAATTGAACTTAGGAAAATGGGTGCAAATATTTTAGGAAGATTTTCAGTAATAAGGACTGAAACTAAAAGGTATTTGAGGTTGAGGCAGAAAATTGTTAGCTATAATATTTTAAATTCTAGATACATTGGATAAAAATGGACAATTCCACTTTGGGAGGCTGAGGTGGGAGGATTGCTTGAGTCTGGGAATTTGAGACCAGCCTGGGCAACAAAGTGAGCCCTCAGCTCTACAAAAAAATTTAAAAAATTAGCTGGGCATGGTGGTGCATGCCTGTAGTCTCAGCTACTCAGGAGGCTGAGGTGGGAGGATCACTTGAGCCCAGGAGAATGAGGCTGCAGTGAGTGGTGATGACGTCACTGCACTCCAGCCTGGGTGAGAGAGCAAGACCCTGTCTTAAAAAAGAAGCTGGGTGCGATGGCTCACGCCTTTAATCCCAGCACTTTGGGAGGCCGAGGTGGGCGGATCATGAGGTAAGGAGATCGAGACCATCCTGGCTAACACGGTGAAACCCCATCTCTACTAAAAATACAAAACATTAGCCAGGCGTGGTGGCAGGCACCTGTAGTCCCAGCTACTCAGGAGGCTGAGGCAGGAGAATAGCGTGAACCCAGGAGGCGGAGCTTGCAGTGAGCCGAGATTGTGCCACTGCACTCCAGCCTGGGCGACAGTGCGAGACTTCATCTCAAAAAAAAAAAAAAAAAGAAAAAGAAAAGCTAATTCCTGAGGCATAATTGGTTATATTTGGAAGACATATATTTTGTAATTCTCACAGCACCATCATTAATAGTACTTACGGTGGTCTCTATCCATTATTACAAATACTGCTTTCTTTGTTTCCCCCCCCCCCTTTTTTTTTTGGAGATGGAGTCTCAGTCACCCAGGCTGGAGTTCAGTGGCGTGATTTTCGCTCACTGCCGCCTCCGCCTCCTGGGTTCAAGTGATCCTCCTGCCTCAGTTTCCCGAGTAGCTGGGATTACAGGCGTGCATCACCATGCCTAGCTAATTTTTTTTTTTTTTTGTATTTTTAGTAGAGACGGGGGTTTCACCATGTTGGCCAGGCTGGTCTTGAAATCCTGACCTTGAGTGATCTATCCGCCTTGGCCTCCCAAAGTGCTGGGATTACAGCTGTGAGCCACTGTGCCTGGCCACGTTCCCATCTCTTTAAATGCCTTTTTGCCCTTTATCCCTACCTCCTCCTTCCAGTAATCACTGAACTATTTGTTCATTCTCTCTTAATAAAGCTTTTAAAGTACGAAGACCCTGGAGGGTTGGGGGATGTACTAAATAAATCACCTTGGCATTGGCTTTATTAGTGAAAGGAAACTGATTTTTAAACCAGATACCTGCAATTGGTGCTAGTGAAGGGAAACGGCAGCCCTTTAAAGGTATTCTACCTCATCTTTTCTGTCCCTAAGCCAGGACCTAGTTTCATTTATAGAATATAAGTTTGTCAGTGTATATCACACTGTAGTAGTTTGCTACGTGAAAGGTAGGCAAGGAGATCACTTCTCTTATAGGATTTTTATCTTTTTTTTTTTTTTTGAGATGGAGTCTTGTTCTGTTGCCCAGGCTGCAGTGCAATGACGTGATCTTGGCTCACTGCAACCTCTGCATCCCAGGTTCAAGCGATTCTCCTGCCTCAGCCTCCCGAGTAGCTGGGATTACAGGCACACACCACCATGCTCGGCTAATTTTTGTATTTTTGGTAGAGATGGGGTTTCACCATGTTGGCCAGGATGGTCTTGATCTCCTGACCTCGTGATCCTCCCACCTCAGCCTCCCAAAGTGCTGGGATTACAGGCATGAGCCACTGTACTCGGCCTGACATGGAGTCTTGCTCTGTCACTAGGCTGGAGTGCAGTGGAGCCATCTCGGCTCACTGCAGCCTCTGACTCCCTGGTTCAAGAGATTCTCCTGCCTCAGCCTCCTGAGTAGCTGGGATTACAGGAACGTGCTACCACGCCCAGCTAATTTTTTGTATTTTTAGTAGAGATGGGGTTTCACCATGTTGGCCAGGATGGTCTCAATCTCCTGACCTCATGATCTGCTTGCCTCGGCCTCCCAAAATGCTGGGATTACAGGCATAAGTCACCATGCTTGGCCCCTAATTTTTGTATTTTTAGTAGATACGGGGTTTTACCATGTTGGCCAGGCTGGTCTCGAACTCCTGACCTCAGGTGATCCACCCGCCTCTGCCTCCCAAAGTGTTGGGATTACAGGCGTGAGCCACCACGCTGGCCTCATATCTTTAGCACAGTACTTTTGTAGTTTTTCTCCAACTCCTTGTTACCAATCTACAATAGAACTTGGTTATTTAAGAAAATTTAGTTGTTATTAGTATTATTATTGAAATGGAGTCTCGCCCTGTCGCCCAGGCTGGAGTGCAGTGGTGTGATCTCAGCTCACTGCAACTTCTGCCTCCCGGGTTAAAGCAATTCTCCTGCTTCAGCTTCCCGAGTAGCTGGGATTACATGGGCACGCCACCATGCCCAGCTAATTTTTTTGTATTTTTAGTAGAGACGGGGTTTCACCATGCTGGCCAGGCTGGTCTCGAACTCCTGACCTCATGATCCGCCTGCCTTGGCCTCTCAAATTGCTGGGATTACAGGCGTGAGCTGCCGCACCTGGCCAAATATAGTTATTATTAATGTGGATAGATTTTATCATTTTTGTGTATCATCTGTGCTTATTAGTGTTAAACAAAAGACTTAATTGTGTGCTTGTTAACTTGACTGTAAATCTTTCCAATGATTCTTAGTGCCAAAGTTTCAGCTTTGTTTCCAGTTAATCAGGATACTAGCCAAAGTTAGAATCTTTCAATAACATTTGAGTCCCTATTTTCAAAGAAAACAGACAAAAATTCTTTAAAATTAGAAAGAGCTTTTGTTCTAATCTTTTAAAATATAAGCATTTTATAAGTGCCATAGAGTTTAAGTGTTGTAATCAACACTTAGTTTTGTTGGTAAGCTGTGATGGCACCCGGCACTTTTTTGGTGGTGCTGGGGCGGGGGATGACATCTGTCTGGTACATTTTTGTAACTTTGTTCAGATCTCAGACATATGCTTGTATCATGTATGAGTAATCTGTTAAAAACATTTTCATGACTAGCCTTGTCATTTTTGGGCAAATAATTTTCAATTTTCATATTAAATATAAGTTGGAACTGGGTGTGATAGCTCATGCTTGTAATCCCAGCAATTTGAGAGGCCGAGGCGGGAAGAATGCTTGAGCCCAGGAGTTGGAGACCAGCCTGGACGACATAATGAGACCCTGTCTTAGCTACTCAGGAGGCTGAGGTGGGAGGATTATTTGGGACCCAGAGGGCAAGGATGCAGTGAGCCATGATAGCACCACTGCACTCCAGCCTGGGCAAATGTCTCTTTAAAAAAATTATGTGTGTGTGTGTGTGTGTGTGTGTGTGTGTGTGTGTGTGTGTGTGTGTTGGGGTCGGGGTTAGATTGAATCCAGAAGAAGTATAAAAGCATGTCTTTATTTATTTATTTATTTTGAGATGGAGTTTCACTCTTGTTGCCCAGGCTGGAGTGCACTGGTGCGTTCTTGGCTCACTGCAACTTCTGCCTCCCAGGTTCCTGCCTCAGCCTCCCGAGTAGCTGGGATTACAGGCATGTGCCACCATGTCTGGCTAATTTCTTGTATTTTTAGTAGAGATGGGGTTTCACCATTGTTGGCCAGGCTGGTCTCGAACTCATGACCTCCACCTGCCTTGGCCTCCCAAAGTTCTGGGATTACAGGCGTGAGCCACCGGTCCCGGCCAAAAGCATGTCTTTATTATTGGTTCTTCATTCATTGAACAAATTCCATGAGCCATACATTATACTGAGTTTTGGTGATATAGATATGAAACATTTCTCCCCTGTTAAGGGACACTCAAAATTTTTTTGTTTTTTTTTTTTGTTTGTTTGTTTTTGAGATAGAGTCTCGCTCTGTCACCCAGCCTGGAGTGCAGTGGTGCGATCTTGACTCACTGCAAGCTCCGCCTCCCGGGTTCACGACATTCTTCTGCCTCAGCCTCCCCAGTAGCTGGGACTACAGGCGCCCCCACTGCGCCCGGCTCATTTTTTGTATTTTTAGTAGAGACGGGGTTTCACCATGGTCTTGATCTCCTGACCTCATGATCCGCCCACCTCAGCCTCCCAAAGTGCTGGGATTACAGGCGTGAGCCACTGTGCCCGGCCGGGACACTCAAATTCTTGCTCAGACTCTCTGAAGGGAGGTTAAGGAAATGAACTATTAACAATACAAAGAGGTAAGTCCTAAGGTGGTAGTATTAACTGGCTATTCTGAGGTTGAGAAAGGAGTCGTTCTTGAGGCTCACTGCACCTTCCGCCTCCTAGGTTCAAGCAGTTCTCCTGCTTCAGCCTCCCAAGTAGCTGGGACTACAGGCGTGTGCCACTACGCCCGGTGCAGTTTTGTATTTTCAGTAGAGAGGGGGTTTCACCATGTTGGCCAGGTTAGTCTAGAACTCCTGACCTCAGATGATCCACCTGCCTTGGCCTCCCAAAGGGGTGAGACTACAGGCATGGGCCACTGCACCCGGCCTGAGTTTCTTCTTAAAGGGCTAAATAATAATTACTCAAGTAAATAAGGGTAGGAATGTGATAGGCATTGCCAGCCATGAAATTAGCACATCTAAAAGGATGACCACACTTGGAAAATTCCTAGGGTGTTAATAAATATGGTGATTTCCTAGAGTGTTAAATTACTAAATTGATCACAGTTGTAAATTTAATTTGCTAGCTAAGTGAGCGATAGTTCAAATGTTTTAGTTCTGGCCAGAAGTTAGATGGGAAAGAGATGGAAAAGACACCCATTCCCCCAAGGGTTGGGAGTAGGGGGCATTCTTCCTAATGGAGAGTTTCAGGTGTATCTGCAGAATACCTATCCCAGGAAATGGGAGTGATGACAAGATTACAAATATTTTCTGACCTTGATAATTCTTGAGATCTACACAGTTTTCGTAAGGAAAGAAGTCATCTTCATGGAAGAGGTATAATTGTCTTGTTCTGTGTCTGTGAGCACCCAAGAAAATAGTGTGAGGCTGAGAGGTAAACCTTCCTTTACCAGCTGCCAATGTTGAAAAACAAAATTTATTTTATCAACTGTATTTCATTGTCCACAATGGTTCTGCCTGTAAATTAGCCTCCCAGAGCTGCTCCAGAAAAGAAAACATGGCCCTGTTTGGAGTATATAGCTATCGAGAGTCTCATATAAGAGGCGTTTTCCTTTTATCTGACCCCGTGAATAGATGGTCATGTTCTGGTCTTTCCATGTTGTTCAGTTATGATGGGCAAAGAACCTGTAGGAGATTAAAGCAGCTCCATTGTGTATGGCTTGTGCTCCTGATGATCTTACTCAGAATCCCATGATTTTGTCGGGTTTTCCCCTTTTCATGTAAGTGTTGTGCTGCTTAAGGATTTCCATGTTGTTCTAGAATGTAGTGTTTTTTAAGCTAGAGTAATTCTTTCTCTTCTTTTTTTTTTTTTTGAGACAGAGTCTTGCTCTGTTGCCCAGGCTGGAGTGCAGTGGCGCGATCTCGGCTGACTGCAACCTCCGTCTCCTGGGTTCAAGCGATTCTCCTGCCTTAGCCTCCTGAGTAGCTGGGTTTACAGGCATGCACCACCATGCCTGGCCAGTTTTTGTGTTTTTAGTAGAGACGGGGTTTCACCATGTTGGTCAGGCTGGGAGTAATTCTTTATATTAATTGAAAATGATTTTTTTCTAAAGTAGAGAATCCTAATCAAGGAGATTCTTTTCTGGGGAGTCTCATCCATTCAGTATTTATTAAATGCTGATGTGTGCCAGGCAATACTGAAGGTTTTGAAAATATGTCATTGAATAAGATAGACTTAAATACTTGCCCTATATTTCTTTGGGAAAGAGAAACAATAAATATAATTAAAAAGTCAATTTATAATGTTAGAAGGCAATAAGTGTTATGGGGAAAAGGTAAATGGTAATATGAGAGTATTGTAGTGAGGGTGGGGTAGTACTTTTAAGTAGGGCGGGTCAGGGTAAGCCTCACTGAGAGGGTAACATTTGAGCAAAAACTTGAAGGAGTGAGTCATGTGACAGAAGAGTGTTCCAGTTAGAAGGAACAGTTGGTACAGAGTATTTGAGGTGGATTAAGCCTGTCATCTTTAAAAGCAGCAGTCACCATTACTTAGTACAGTGAGCCAGAGGATGACTGTAAGGAGATGAGGGCAGAGAGGCTGTGGGTGATGTGAGTACTTTGGCTTTTACACTAAGTGCCATTGAAAATAAACTCCTAATAAGACTGAATCAGTAGAATTTCCTTCTCAGAGATTTAGGGTCAAGGAAAAGGTAAGCAGTCAGAGAAGGAACTCTGTAACTTCTAGACTTAGGATAGCAAAAATTAATGCATATCCGTTAGACATAAGATTATGGCAAAACAAATAATGAAGTTCTTTGCTGATATTTTCTACTTTATTTTTGATTATAGGGACTTTCAGTTACCTTGATGATGTCCCATTTAAGACAGGAGACAAATTCAAAACACCAGCTAAAGTTGGTCTACCTATTGGCTTCTCCTTGCCTGATTGTTTGCAGGTTGTCAGAGAAGTACAGGTAAGTGGTAATTTTTAGTTAAAGTTTAGTGCATTTAAAAGTTTAAAGAGTAAGAATTTGATGTATAGTGAAATAGAAAAAATTACAGTTGTGAGCTGAATCATGTTTTGGTCAACGATGGACCACATATACAATGGTGGTCCCATAAAATTATAAGGGGCTGGGCGTGGTGGCTCACGCCTGTAATCCTAACACTGTGGGTGGCCAAGGTGGGAGGATCACTTGAGCTCAGGAGTTTGAGACCAGGCTGGGCAACTTAATGAGACCTCATCTCTACTAGGGGAAAAAAAAATGATAGATATATATATATATATTCCTATCACATAGTGACGTAGTAGCCATTGTAACATGGTAGCGCAATGCATTACTCAAGTGTTTGTGGTGATGCTGGTGTAAACACATCTGCTGCATTGACAGTCTTACAAAAGTATAGCACATACAATTCAGTATAGTATGTAATACAAATAAATGACTATGTTACTCATTTATGTATTACTATGCTATACTTTTTAGCATTATCTTTCTACTTATTAAAAAAGTTAACTGTAGAACAGCCTCAGGTAGGTCCTTCAGGAGATATTCCACAGGAAGGCATTGTGATCATAGGAGATGACAGCTCCATGCATGTATTGCTCCTGAAGACCATACAGTGAAACAAGATGGGAAGGTGGAAGACAGTGATACTGATGATCCTATAGGCCTAGGCTGATGTGTGTGTGGCTTCATTTTTAAGAAAGAAGTTTAAAAAGTAAAAAAATAAAAAATTTAAAGATCAAAAAGCTTATAGAATAAGAGTATAAAGAAAAATGTTTTGGAAGATAAAAAACATTTTAGGCTAAGTATTAGTTCGGAAGAGTAAAAAAGTTAAAAAAATTTAATGTTTATAAAGTTAAAAAGGCACAGTAAGTTAGAGTTATTATTTAGAGAAAAATTGTTTTTTACATTTGTGTATATGTGTATATATATATGTGTGTGTGTGTGTGTGTGTGTGTATATATATATGTATGTATTTTTTTGAGACGGAGTCTCACTCTGTCGCCCAGGCTGGAGTGCAGCGGTGCAATCTTGGCTCACTGCAAGCTCTGCCTCCTGGGTTCACACCATTCTCCTGCCTCAGCCTCCCGAGTAGCTGGGACTACAGGCGCCCGCCACCATGCCTGGCTAATTTTTTGTATTTTTTAGTAGAGACGGGGTTTCACTGTATTAGCCAGGATGGTCTCAATCTCCTGACCTCGTGATCTGCCTGCCTTGGCCTCCCAAAGTGCTGGAATTACAGGCGTGAGCCACTGCGCCCGGTCAAAAAATTGTTTTTTACAAATTTAGTATAGCCTAAGTGTACAGTGTTTATAAAGTCAAGGGTACTACTGTACAGTAATGTCCTAGGCCTTCACATTTACCATTCGCTTACTCACTCACCCAGAGCAACTTCCAGTCCTACAAGCTCCATTTATGGTAAGTGCCCTATACAGGTGGACCATTTTTAATCTTTTTTTTTTTTTTTCTTTTTTTGAGACGGAGTTTCATTCTTGTTGCCCAGGCTGGAGTGCAATGGCGCGATCTCGTCAAGAAGAGAGACTCTTTCTGTCTCTATGTAACCTCCGCCTCCACCTCCTGGGTTCAAGCAATTCTCCTGCCTCAGCCTTCTAAGTAGCTGGGATTACAGGTGTGCACTACCATGCCCGGCTAATTTTGTATTTTTAGTGGAGTCAGGGTTTCACCATGTTAGTCAGGCTGGTCTCGAGCTCCTGACTTCAGTTGATCCGCCCACCTCGACCTCCCAAAATGCTGGGATTACAAGCGTGAGCCACTGCACCCAGCCTATTTTTAATCTTTTATACCATATTTTTACTGTACCTTTTCTATGTTTAGATAGGTTTAGATACATAAATACTTGCCATTATGCTACAATTGCCTACAGTATTCAGCATAGTAACATGCTATACAGGTTTATAGCCTAGGAGCAATACTGTACCATAGCAATACCGTATAGCCTAGGTGTATAGCAGGCTGTACCATCTAGGTTTGTGTAAATACACTCTGCCCTCACCGATGAAATCACCTAACATGCATTTTTTAGAGCGTATCCTTGTCATTATGACTGTATTATCTTATTTTTGTTTCTTATAGCTCCTATTGTTGCCTGGCTCACATTGTTATACACACATACAGATTTTGTGTCCTCTGTTAGATTGTATATTCCTGGGGCCCTGTACCTCACACAGACCAAATTCCCATTGCCCATTTAACTAGCTTTTTCACCTCTTTCCCTTTCTCTGCTAATGTCCTCATTCTCTTTTCAGTCACTCAAGTTAGATTTGCTGTGTCTCACATTGCAGTTCAGCCTGACCTCATTTTTCACCTGGGCTGTTGCAGTAGCCTCTTTAATTGGCCCTTCTGCTTGCGGTGTTTTCCTTCTATTTTTTACATAGTTTCTAGAATGATCTTAAAGTTTTAAATTGTCACATCCCTTTTCATAACTGTTCAAAAGGGTTCAATGACTAACCAGTCCTTATTGAGTATAGTCTAGACATAAGGTTATGACAAAGCAATTGAGCTCATCACCTCCTCCATGTTCCCTCCAAACCACGTTACTAGTAGTCTGTTAGACCTTGTACGTTATCTCTCTATATGTTGCTTCTGCTCATGAGCCGTTATCTCCACCTGGAATATTCTTTTTCTCACTATACTGAAAACTCCGTTCAAATCTATTCTAGATTGCGTGTAAATGCTATCTCTTCGAGGGCTTCTTTCTCAGTCCTCCCATCTTTAAGGCTCAGTTATATAGAAATGTACTGAGTTACTCCTTGAAAGCAACAAATAGCCCTGTGTTACTTACTTACTGCAGTACACATTTACTAAACGCATGTTTATGAGAGGTGGTCTACTGGGCACTGCAGGTAGAGATAAATGCCTTAATCACTGCCCTCAAGGTACTTACAGTTGAGAGAAGTTACCTAGAGCAACAGAAAAATATGGTACTTTAACTCTTCTTCCTGTGACTTAAGAAGATTTTTAAAAATGCAGCTTTCAGGAAAAGAAGTTTTGTTTTTCTGGAATTCACTAAGGCATCACCATTTTATTCTAAAAGGTATTACTTTTTTTATCTTCCAAAGTCTATATGCAGTAAGTAATCATAATGAGGGAACTTCAGTTACTTTTGGGAGAAAAAAAATATTTATTGAGATATAATTCACATACCATGAAATTTACCTTTTTTTAAAAAAAAACTTTTTTTGGTTTATTTGTAGACACAGTCTCACTCTGTCACTCAGGGTGGAGTCTAGTGGCACAGTCATGGCTCACTGCAGCCTCGACCTCCCTGAGCTTGGTGATCCTCCCTCCTCAGCCTCCTGAGTAGCTGGGACTATTGGCATGCACCACCATGCCTGGCTAATTTTTGTATTTTTTGTAGAGATGGGGTTTCATCATGTTGCCCAGGCTGGTCTTGAGCTCCTGGCCTCAAGTGATCTGCCCACCTCAGCCTCCCAAAGTGCTGGGATTACAGGTGTCAGCCACCATGCCCGGCCAAAATTCACCTTTTTAAGGTATACATACAGTTCAGTGATTTTTAATATATTCACATAGTTGTGTAATAATCATTACTATCTAATTCCCGAACATTTTCATCACCCCAAAAGGAAACCCAGTGTCCACTAGAAGTCACTCCCCACAGCCTCTGGCAGCCTCCTCGCAGCCTCTGGCAACCAGTATCTACTTTCTGTCTCTATGGGTTTGCCTATTCTGGCCATTTCATATAAATGGAATTCTGCAGTAGCAGCCTTGGTGACTGGCTTATTCACTTAGCATAATGTTTTCAAGGTTTATCCACGTTGTATGAATGAGGTATTAGTACTTCATTTATTTTTGTAGGTGAATAATATTTCATTGTTTGGATATAACACACTTTGTTTATCTGTTCATCAGTTGATGGGACATTGTGGTAGTTTCTAATTTTCGGCTATTATGAATAATGATGCTCTGAACATCTGTAAACAGATTTTTGTGTGGACACATGTTTTCAGTTTTCTTGGGTATAATGTATAGGAATGGCATTGCTGGGTCATAGTAACTCTATGTTTAACATTTTAAAGAACTGCTATTTTTCCAAAGTGGCTGCACAATTTTACAATCCCAGCAGCACTACAAGAGGGTACCAATTTCTTCACTTCCTTGCCCACTCTTATTAACTCGTTTTCATTATATACATTCTTGTGGGTGAGAAGTTGTCTCTCATTGTGGTTTTTATTTGCATTTCTTTCATGTCTAATGGTGTCAAGCATCTTAAGTATCTTTAATACTGAATTAATGTTCCTTTTGTGTATGGAGACTTTATTGGGCCAGAAGAGAGATAGACCTACTTTGTAACGTTTTTCCATGTTTTATTTGTGTAAGAATTTTTTTATTGGCAATAACAAATAGTCATTACTTACCTTTGTACATGATACTATTAGCAATATGATTTAAAAACACCTGTCTTGTTTCTCATTATTCACTGCTTTACTGATGCCTTCAGAAAACTTGTTTTGATTCCCAAATTGTCGATTTAGGCTTTGCTGGGAATTTCCCATTTGGTCAGTCTGAAGCACCAATAAAAGCATGGTATGTGCTCACTGTGCTCATAGCACCCACTGATAACAAAAGGAGATCAAAGCTAAGAGCTCCATTCCAATGTGGGCCATGTGAAATATTTTTGTTCTCTAATGCACAAAGCAATCTTTTTTTGAGATGGAGTCTTGCTCTTTTGCCCAGGCTGGAGTGCAGTGGCGCCATCTTGGCTCACTGCAACCTCCACCTCCCAGGTTCAAGAGATTCTCCTGCCTTAGCCTCCTGAGTAGCTGGGACTACGGCATGTGCCACCACACCTGGCTAATTTTTGTATTTTTAGTAGAAGACAGGGTTTTGCCATGTTGACCAGGCTGGTCCCGAACTCCTGACCTCAAGTGATCCGCCCACCTTGGCCTCTCAAAGGAGGCCAAGCCTGTCTGGCCTACAAAGCAGCCTTAAACTTTGACTGTCTGGAGTCTCCATGGGGTTGTAGTGTTGTATCTGGTCCCCTCCGTACCCAGAGAACAGTCAGACCTAGAGCTCTAGACAGATGGCTTGAAAGTTCCTATAACTGTCATATTTGCCTTTGCATGACAATACAAACTCAACTTTTCAGCTAAAATTTCTTTAGAGTGAGCCAGTAAAACATACACAGCCCTTGCTTCTAGGGTCCAGAAAGCTTCTGTTGAATGTGGCTCACGTGAGGTAGCCCTTAGTGTCATGGTTTAGAACATCCTCTGGTGTCACTCATACATGTGCTGGAGAATTGACCTGTAATAGCTATATAATCTTGGACAGATTTTTTAACTTCTGCAAGCCTCAATTTCTTCATCTGTAAAGGGAGGATGAGGATGATTAGCTTTTAAGGTTGTTAGAAGAGTTAAATAATGCATTTATAATGCTTACTCTGGTTCCTGGAACTCCATAAATACAAGATGACATTATTTATTATTATACTCCAAAACCACATTCTTTTCTACTTTAATATTTCTGCCATCCTCAGCCCCCTCCCTCCCTGCACCGCACCCTGCTTTTTCTGCGTTCCAAGTATTCTACATTACTTTGGTAACTAAAAAACAAAAGTTCAATAAATGTTTGCTAGAAAAGGAAAGAAATTTCCAATTTTTTTAAAATAAAACTTCAAAGAACAATGTTTATAGGGCAATGGGAAGTTAGTTATAGCCTCCATTTTTATTAGGGGAACCAATTGCAAAATTGGGTTTTCTCCACAGTTAGAAGAGCAGAGTCATTGCCACTGCTCTTTTCTCATTGTTCCATTAGTGGTAGAAAGGAAGCCCAGTGATCCCCCCATATGTCTATCTGAGGCACAGCAGCTGGCTCAGGATGTAAAGTAACTTCTTGTCATGTGCCTTTCTAGGCTTCTCTTTTGTTGTTTGAATTTGAATGGCTTGAGTATGACCAGGGGCTCTTTCCTATGTTTCTTCTCTAAAATTCTGGTGTTAGCACGTTAGACCTCTCTTTTCCCCCTTTTTTACTTTTAGTGTGTCTCTCACCTTGGACATTAACACAGATACTGTTTAGCTCTAGTGCTTTGGGGTGAAAGCCAAAGATTTTGTTTTTTCCTGTCCTATGTGAATGTTGCTTTATATAATAGGTCTGTTTCTCTTAAGTGTGCAAAATAAATTTTTGTAAATTGAGCTATACTTAAGATATTGTTAAAGAACCATGAAGTGGCTCTTTGTGTAATTTGCTGTGTAAAAATCTTAATCTGATTTCTTATAAGTTTTTCTGCATTTTAACTGCAACCTGTTCATCATAATCTAATAGATAGTGGTTTAAGAGCATAGAATCTGTAGTCAGACTGCCTGGGTTCAAATCCAGGCTCTTCCATTTAGCTACCAGCTTTATGCTTGGTTGTAGATCCTGTTAAGTAGGAATAATAGTAGTTACTTTAAAAGGTTATTGAGAAAATCTAGAGAGTTAATGCATAAAAAGTGTTTAGAATCATGCATGGCACCTTACAGGTATTTCTTACATGTTTGGGGCTATCATTACCTAGCATGGGATTTGTTTAGGACATTGTGCTAGATAATAGAGATCCAAGGAGGGTCTGTAGCCAGGTTGCTGCCCACAAGAGGCTTGTGGGAACATAGTTTGGTTAAATCTTACAAGGACATTGGAAGCCTTACTCTTTTTAAGTGGGGATCATCCCACACGCCTTAAATGCTGCCTTGTCCGGTTATCCTCTTGCACCAGGAGTGAGGAAGGAGTGAATTGGGTGGTGGGGTAAAGATGGCCACCTGGGTTCACACCCCCTTCCTCTGCTATATCTTTGCAGTATGACTTCTCTTTGGAAAAGAAAACCATTGAGTGGGCTGAAGAGATTAAGAAAATCGAAGAAGCCGAGCGGGAAGCAGAGTGCAAAATTGCGGAAGCAGAAGCTAAAGTGAATTCTAAGAGTGGCCCAGAGGGCGATAGCAAAATGAGCTTCTCCAAGACTCACAGTACAGCCACAATGCCACCTCCTATTAACCCCATCCTCGCCAGCTTGCAGCACAACAGCATCCTCACACCAACTCGGGTCAGCAGTAGTGCCACGAAACAGAAAGTTCTCAGCCCACCTCACATAAAGGCGGATTTCAATCTTGCTGACTTTGAGTGTGAAGAAGACCCATTTGATAATCTGGAGTTAAAAACTATTGATGAGAAGGAAGAGCTGAGAAATATTCTGGTAGGAACCACTGGACCCATTATGGCTCAGTTATTGGACAATAACTTGCCCAGGGGAGGCTCTGGGTCTGTGTTACAGGATGAGGAGGTCCTGGCATCCTTGGAACGGGCAACCCTAGATTTCAAGCCTCTTCATAAACCCAATGGCTTTATAACCTTACCACAGTTGGGCAACTGTGAAAAGATGTCACTGTCTTCCAAAGTGTCCCTCCCCCCTATACCTGCAGTAAGCAATATCAAATCCCTGTCTTTCCCCAAACTTGACTCTGATGACAGCAATCAGAAGACAGCCAAGCTGGCGAGCACTTTCCATAGCACATCCTGCCTCCGCAATGGCACGTTCCAGAATTCCCTAAAGCCTTCCACCCAAAGCAGTGCCAGTGAGCTCAATGGGCATCACACTCTTGGGCTTTCAGCTTTGAACTTGGACAGTGGCACAGAGATGCCAGCCCTGACATCCTCCCAGATGCCTTCCCTCTCTGTTTTGTCTGTGTGCACAGAGGAATCATCACCTCCAAATACTGGTCCCACGGTAAGTCTTTTAAATCCCCCGCCGACTCCCATATTTTCCTGATGACAGGGATTATGTTTTTTCTTGTTGTTTGGTTGATTTTTTTCGAGACAGGGTCTCATTCTGTTGCCCAGGCTGGAATGCAGTGGTGTGATCGTACCTTATTGTAGCCTCGACCTCCCGGGCTCAAGCCTGTTGGGACAACAGGCACATGCCATCACACCTAATTTTTGTGTTTTTTGTAGAGATGCGGTTTTGACACGTTGCCCAGGCTGGTCTCAAACTCCTGACTTCAAGTTATCTGCCTGCCTTGGCCTTCCAAAGTGCTGGGATTACAGGTGTGAGCCACCAAGACTGGCAGTACAGAACAACACATTATTGCATTCTAGAATAGAAATCAATAGAAGTCAAGAACCTTTTGCTACACCAGCTTACAGATTTCTTTTCCTTTCTTTTTTTTGAGACAGAGTCTTGCTCTGTCGCCCAGGCTGGAGTGCAGTGGCACCATCTCGGCTCACTGCCAACCTCCACCTCTCACGCAATTCTCCTGCCTCAGCTTCCCGAATAGCTGGGACTACAGGCATATGCCACCACACTCAGCTAATTTTTGTATTTTTAGTAGAGACGGGGTTTTACCACGTTTCCGAGGCTGGTCTCAAACTCCTGACCTTAGTTGATCCACCTGCCTCCACCTCCCAAATTCCTGGGATTACAGGGGTGAGCCGCTGTGTCCGGCCAGCTTACAGATTTTTTAATGTAAAAGCACATCAAGAGACTATTTAGAGCCAAAAAGGAGCCTGAGTATATTGGTGGGATATCTGTCAGAGACCATAACAAGCCTGCTATTAGCTGGTAAAAAGATACAAAATCTTGGCCTGCTTTACAAGTCCCAGTAATAGCATTCTTGGTCAATGATAGTCTGTGTGAATGCTTCTATTGTCAGAGAGCTCATAGCTGCTTGTAAACTTCCATAAACCTTGGCCCGGGTAAACTTGATAGAGTGCCGAACACCATTATTATCTTCTTGGAGTGGGCTTCATTCTAATTCCTCTTGGTCAGTTGTTGGGCTCTGGTCAGCACTGTACTTCTTCCTTTTCATGGTACTTTGAATGCTTTAGAGAAATTAAAATCTCCCTGGAAAAGATCAGGGATCCTTGGCCAACACTCCCTTCCTCTCATTTAAAGTTAGATTAACCATTTAGAGATCAAAGCCAATAAACTAACAGCAGAGATCTTTCTCAAACTAGAACGCTTGTCATTCTTTGACCAGCCTGATGATGGGAGTTTCTTTCTGACCTGTTCATCTCAGGATGGGAAGAGGCCTGCTTCTTGTTGGCTTGAGAATTTGCTGCCTTCCACCTGCAGGTATAAACAGAGCTGGAGTTCTGGTGTTTCTTTTTTCTTTTTTTTTTTTTTGAGACAGATTCTAATTCTGTCACCCAGGCTGGAATGTAGTGGTGTGATCTCTGCTCACTGCAACCTCCACCTCCCAGGGTCGGGCGATTGTCCTGCCTCTCGCAGCCTGCCAAGTAGCTGGGATTACAGGCATGTGCTATCGTGCTCGGCTCATTTTTGTATTTTTAGCAGAGATAGGGTTTCGCCATGTTGGCCAGGCTGGTCTGGAACTCCTGTGCTCAAGTGATCCACCCGCCTCAGCCTCCCAAAGTGCTGGGATTACAGGTGTGAGCCACAGTGGCTGGCCAATTAAATATTGACTATAATCACCCTGTTGTCTTATCAAATGGTAGATCTTATTCTATTTTTTTCTTTGCTTTTTTCTTCAACAGAGTCTCGCTCTGTCGCCCAGGCTGGAGTGCAGTGGCGTGATTTTGGCTCACTGCAACCTCTGCCTCCTGGGTTCAAGGGATTCTTCTGCCTCAGCCTCCAGAGTAGCAGGGATTACAGGCGCCTGCCACCATGCGCAGCTAATTTTTGTATTTTTAGTAGAGACGGGGTTTCACCATCTTGGCCAGGCTGGTCTTGAACTCCTGACCTCGTGATCCGCCCGCCTCGGCCTCCCAAATGCTGGGATTACAGGTGTGAGTCACCGCACACAGCCATTCTTTCTATTTTTTTTGTACCTATTAACCACCAGCCCCCGACTACTACCCTTCTCAGCCCCTGTGGTAACCATCCTTCTAGTGTCTATGTCCATGGGTTCAATTGCTTTGATTTTTAGATCACACACATAAGTGAGAACATGTGATGTTTGTCTTTCTATGCCTGGCTTATTTCACTTAACATAATGATCTCCAGTTCCATCCATGTTGTTGCAAATGACAGGATCTCATTCTTTTTCATGGCTGAACGGTACTCCATTGTGTACGAGCACCACATTTTTTTAATCCATCCTTGTTTAAGTTCTTTCACTTTACTCTTTTTTTTTTTCTTTGGAGACAGATTTTGCTCTTGTTGTTCAAGCTGGCGTGCAATGTTGCGATCTCGGCTCACTGCAACCTCCGCCTCCCGGGTTCAAGTGATTCTCCTGCCTCAGCCTCCCATGTAGCTGGGATTACAGGCATGTGCCACCACGCCTGGCTAATTGTTCTATTTTTAGTACAGACGGGGTTTCATCATATTGGTCAGGCTGGTCTCAAACTCTTGACCTCAGGTGATGCACCTGCCTCGGCCTCCCAAAGTGCTGGGATTATAGGTGTGAGCCACTGCACCTGGCCTATCCATTCATCTCTTGATGGACACTTAGGTTGCTTCCAAATCTTGGCTATTGTGAACAGGGCTGCAACAAACATGAGAGTGCAGATCTTGTTTATGTTTTACTTTCTGGGACATATCCTTAACTTACAACTTCAAAAAAAAACTACTAAATCTTACAACCTTTTATTTTATTTAATTTATTTTTCCCCCTGAACTTGATAGTAGGTGATTATTTTTTAAGAGATGGGATTTTTGTCCCCTAGGCTGGGGTGCAGCTTACTGCCTCAGCCTCCTGTCTGGGACTACAGGTGTGCACCACTATGCCCAGCTGATTTTTGTAGAGTTGGGGGTCTCACTGTTTGCCCAGGCTGGTCTTGAACTCCTGGGCTCAAGTGATCCTCCTGCCTCAGCCTCCCAAAGTGTTGGGATTACAAGCATGAGCCACCATGCCCAGCCTAAATCTTACTACCTTTTAAATACAATTTTTACTTTATCATATTTTAAATTTCCAAGTGCTTTGTCTATTCCCTCTTTTGGTTTGGTGTTTTCATGCTGGTGGCTTTGGCTTTCTATTCACGTTTAAGTATGAGGCACTAAAAAAATAACAGTCACAAAGTTTGTGTGTCAGAGGTGTGCTTGCTGATCATTAAGCTTCACTATAGGTTGAAAGTTAATTGGCTTTGCCGGGGAAGTCCCCAAAATGTAAACATGTGAAGGGCTTGGGTGAGGGTTTCTCCAGAGAATTCTGGCTGAGGACTGATGTTGGGGAATGCTGGTGTGTTGCTTTTACTTAATCCTTGTTTAAGTTCTTTCACTTCACTCTGCCCCACACTGTGCCTGGTGCTTAGTCCTCTTTGGTCTCTGGTTCCCATTTTCTGGAGACTATACCTTCTGCCTCCTGCACAGGGTGGGGATGAATGGGGACTGTTTCACCAAGGGCTTTACTGCTCTGATCACTGACTGTGTGTATCTTTGCCTTATCCCAACAGTACCTGGTGCTTCCAGAGTCTGAGCCCCTCTTAGGGATCCTAATGGGCTGATAGACTGACTCCCCCCTTTCCTACTTACTTACTTAGTTTATAACTTCATTGCTGGCAATTACCATCCCTTCATTATCTTTCCACATTCTAAAATTTCATTGAAATATATCACACCAGTAATCCCAGCATTTTGGGAGGCCGAGGTGGGAGGATTGCTTGAGCCCAGGACTTCGAGATCAGCCTGGGCAGCATACTGAGATCTTGTCTTTGTTTCTTTATTTAAAAAGAATAAGAAATATATTGTCCACTGCTACCCCCTTTCCTTTTATTGCTTTAAAGATGAATACAGTTTTAATTCTTTATTTTTAAATTTTTATTATTTTTTTTGAGACAGGGTCTTGCTCTGTAATCACGGCTCACTGCAGCCTCGACCTCCTGGGCTCAAGTGATCCTCCTGCCTCAGCCTTCTGGGTAGCTGGGACTACAGGCACGTGCCACCACACCTGGCTAACTTTTTGTGTTTTGTAGAGATGAGTCTCAACTATGTTGTCCAGGCTGGTCTCAAAATTCTGAGCTTAAGCAGTCCTTCTGCCTCAGCCTCCCAAAGTGCTGGGATTATAGGCATGAGCCATTGCTCCTGGCCTTAGTTTGTTTATGATCATTTTAGTGGGCTTTTGGGAAGAAGAGATGGTAAAGACATTTTAGTGTGTTAAATGAAATTCTCCCTTTGAAAATTCTAATGGACTTCAATTTATTCCACAACTGTTGATGAAGACCAGTAAGTGTAAAGCCAAGAGTCAGGCCCTGGGGATTTAGAAATGGGCATGACATGGTAACTGACCTCTCTGCAAGCTCACACTAATGTAATGTGATAAGTACTTTGCCAGCAGTGTGACTAAAGCTCTGTGGGACCACAGGTGGCAGTGTGTCCGCTGAGTTGTGCACACACATTAGCAGTGGGTTAAAAGGAGGTTTATGGAAAGACTTGGTAGAAGCTGTCTTGAGGTTAGGCTTGAGGGCCACATAGGTACAGAAAGGACTGCCACCTTCTGAGGCCTGAGAGCATGCTGAGACTCTTCAGAAGCTTGAGCACTAATATTTGTCTCCTTTCACAAACGTACTTTCCCTCAAACACTCATATTTAATTTGGAAAGATTTCATAATAATTCTCATTTTTGTCTAGTTTCTACTTGGTTACAAATATGGAGCACTTCAGTCATCGAGTATGAAAATCCCTTTTTATGCCAGAGTCAACCTTTGCCCCTGCAGGAAGTAAATTTTACTATTCTTTTATTGAAAAAATAATGACAAATGGCTACCATGAATGCAGTTAATGGTGTTTAAAAAGTCATATCTAGATTACTCCTAAGAGCCTTATATATATTTGAAAATGGTACCCTGGAGTAAATAAATTTGGTGAGTAACTGGAGAAACTAAACACTGTTATAATTTTGATGAGGGATCCTTTCAAACCTTGTCTGTCCGTTTGGGGTCTGCTGGATTAGCCTGTTGCCTGTTTGATTCATGAAACATTTATATGAAGGTGACATCTTATTTTGTTTGTCCCTGTTCAAGAAAAGTATCATCTGTTAGGATAGATGATACTTTTAAATCATCCATTTAAAATCAGTCATTTAATATCCCGTGCATCTTTAAAAAATATTGTAGAGCATGTACAATTAATAAATATATCTTTTTTTCTTATTTATTTATTTATTTAGAGACGGTGTCTCGCTGTGTCAACCAGGCTGGAGTGCAGTGGCGCAATCTTGGCCCACTGAGACCTCCGCCTTCTGGGTTCAAGTGATCCTCCTACCTCAGCCTCCCAAGTAGTTGGGATTACAGGAATGCACCACCACACTTGGCCCATTTTGTATTTTTAGTAGAGATGGGGTTTCTCCGTGTTGGTCAGGCTGGTCTTGAACTCCCGACCTCAGGTGGTCTGCCTGCCTTGCCCCCCAAAGTGCTGGGATTACAGGTGTGAGACACCTCACCCGCTGTTTTTTCACTTAATTCAGATGCTTTAAATAATTAACAGTCGTATGTTCATTATTTGCTAACCTAACACCCTGTGCTGGATATTTGGTAGGTTGTCCCTAAAATTTATTACAAATGATGTTGAGATGGATATATTCCTATACATAAATATTGGTTTGCATTATTATTATTTCTTCAGACTAGTTTCCTAGAAATAGGTAACTGGATCAAAGAATCTGAGCAGTTTTCTGGATTTATGCCATGTTTACCTAAAGCATACCAAATAACATTTCCACCAGTAGGGTATGTGAGAGTACTGCATGTATGTTTAAAATAGATACGATTTTTTTTTTTTTCAGACAGTCTCACTCTGTCACCCAGGCTGGAGTGCAATGGCATGGTCTCCACTCACTGCAACCTCCACCTCCCGGGTTCAAGCGATTTTCCCACCTCAGCCTCCCGAGTAGCTGGGACTACAGGCATGTGCCACCACACCCGGCTGATTTTTGTATTTTTAGTAGAGATGGGGTTTCACTATGTTGGCCAGGCTGGTCTCAAACTCCTGACCTCATGATCCACCTGCCTCGGCCTCCCAAAGTGCTGGGATTACAGGCGTGAGCCACCGCACCTGGCTAGATATGATTTTATTAACATTTGTAATGTGCAGTATTCTGGGTGTATGCCTGCATCCCACCAGGCATTTAGGAGGCATTATGAGAAGGGCAGGCAGTTGAAGAATAGTCCTGACTCCTTCCTGGCTGGGGAATGTCATGTGAGAGCTGGCATTGCTCTGTGGCTGTTGGTTTCTTTAGCCCAGGTTAAAGCCCGTCTCTAAAGAGGGAGACACAATCTTAGACCTGCCAAGTGGCTAGACTGGTGTGATCCAATCCCTGTGCCTTATTGTGACTCTTGTACCATAATGACAGCCCTGTGCTTGGGCTGCTGAGTGTGTGCTGTGGGTGAGATGGTTAAGCACCAACAGAATGGGCTCTGAGGCCTATAGCCATCCTGGCTTTCCCCAGCAGACTTTGAGGAGAGCATCTGGTTACATCTGTATAATTTCGAACTTGCTTCTAGGACAGAGGGCTTCCTACCACCTAACCATGCTCCCTCTCCCCACCAATAAAACAAGGAAATAAAAAAATTTTTGTGTGAACATCTTCCCTGGTTCTTGGGACCTGCGCCAAGCTGTAAAAGGGCTTGTGACCTCGTTCCTGTGGTCAGTGGGTCCTTTGGCCTGGGAGTGTGCTGTCTTCCTGCCTTGGGCTTGATTTGTGATCAGAAGTGGTGGGGGAGTTAATCACGGCACTCTGTACGCCTATCCGACTGGGGTTAGTAAGTTCCAGTGGCAGGGAGCAGGCTGCCTGTAGCTGGTGGGCAGGTCCCTAGAGTCCAGATTCCAGTCTGTGGGATCCAGCCTGGTGTGGCTAGTATGCCTTCTGTCCTGGCACTGTAGGATGGCAGCTTTGGCAGGAAACGAAGCACAGTACATGATGTAGGGCAAAGGTGTGGAGTACCCTCAAAACCCTGGGTTCCTGAGCTGTCCAGGTTCCTAAGCTGTCCATGCATGGGAACCACACTCACAGCCTCTGCCGAAGAGTAGAGACTTTGGGATAGAGTTAGCTCCAAAGTGGGAGTATTTGAAGTGAAAAATGATGCCTCAGAACTGATACTTCAGCCTGGGAAAGGGATAATGCTGGAGAGAAATCGCAGCCAGCTTGGACATCAGTCCCGGGGGCAGCCACAGCTTCTTTCTTCAACTCAAATCCTGGAGATTTGGGCATGCAAGGGCCTGTCGTGTTGTGGCGCTTTCTCAATCACCAAAGTGGGACTAGGGCAGAGCAGGACAGCCACAATTGCAGGTGACCTCCCACCTTTTTCCCTCTCAGCTGGCACTCCCCTACCCCTCTTTGTTCCTTTTCAGGGTGTCTGACCAGCAACCTGGCGATTTCTTCCAACCTGACCGCTTTTCTTGGGGCTTGAATAGTGTCAGAAATGCCAACCCCTGGACTAGGCTGCCTCAGTGACTTCTTTGGGGGCCCAGGTCTTCTTGCCTTAATCTTCTTGTTTTTCCACTAGGTCACCCCTCCTAATTTCTCAGTGTCACAAGTGCCCAACATGCCCAGCTGTCCCCAGGCCTATTCTGAACTGCAGATGCTGTCCCCCAGCGAGCGGCAGTGTGTGGAGACGGTGGTCAACATGGGCTACTCGTACGAGTGTGTCCTCAGAGCCATGAAGAAGAAAGGAGAGAATATTGAGCAGGTGAGCGGTTGGTCAGCCAGGAGGGCAGGCTCAGACCTGTGGAGCTGGAGTAGTGTCCTCCCCTGTCCTAGAGCCCCTCAGACTTGTAGCACCAACCTCCTTTCCTGTGGGTTTGTGAGGACACGGGGCATGTTTTGGGGAAAGCCAGCAGCCTTGGGAGCAGTACTTCTTTTGGAAGCTATTCCGGGACCCAGGCTGAGAGACAGCTTTGGGAGAATTGGAGCTGTTCTCCAACTACCCCCTCCTTTCTCTGCCTCTCCAAAAGGGGCAGAGCTAGGCTTGGGGTATGGTCAAATGTCTCTTTCCAGGAATTTTCATCCTGTCATCTATGCCCAGAGTGTTGAATTAGGGTACTGGAGTGTTAGACCTTGGTGACATTTTCTGACTTGGGCTGTTTTCTTAGAGTAGCCGCCTGCCCAGGCTGTGGAGTTGACCATTCTGGTGGGCGTGTCAGCTGTGGCTGCAACTCCTTTGGAAAATGCCTGCTCCTGTTTAGAAGGCTGTGCCTGTGTTCATTAAAGAGTCACTGGGGTCCTGTTGTGTTGGACACAGTCAAGGCACAAAATCAAATCCTATCCAGTATCTGACGGCCTGGGTGGGGCGGAGAACGGACTTCACACACTAGTTTGTTGAGGTCTCTTGGAAAGCACAGCAAAGAGCAGCAGTAGGTGCTAAACCCCTTGTTTCTTTTCTTAGATTCTCGACTATCTCTTTGCACATGGACAGCTTTGTGAGAAGGGCTTCGACCCTCTTTTAGTGGAAGAGGCTCTGGAAATGCACCAGTGTTCAGAAGAAAAGGTGGGAATCTTCATGTTTCTTGGGAACCCTCTGGAAAAGGAGGGACCAAGTATCCATCCTGGTTTTCTCCCTTGGCCCACACACAACCTTTTTGCTTTGCCAGTGACTACAGGTACAAGTATTTGAAGGGCAGAATCTCCCAAGTATTCAGACAGGCCGAGGCCTGCGTTTGGCTTGGTGGTTGAAGCATTGGGTTGAAAACTTCAGAATCCCAGTGAAGGGAAGGGAATATTGGCCTGGGCTAAAAGCCAAACTTCTTAGATGATTAGGGAGGGAGATTGCTGGACTTTTTGCCTAGACTGCTCTTTGAAGAGCAGCCATTTCTGGGTTCAGTATCCTTCCTTGGTGGGAAGATGGATGTGGGTGGTGGGACCCAGACAGAGCTCAGCAACAGTGAGCTGGGACTGGGCTGACTCCTGAAGGTTGATGGCCGTCACCAAACCCGTTTGCCTTGGCTTCCACCACAGCCCACCTCTGCTTGCTAGGGGACCTTATGGAGACTCACGGGGCTCTGGGGGAAGGATGTAGACATTCTGCTCTCCCCCAGTCCCCGTCCCACACACACACTCCTTCACTCAGCTGTGCTGTGACCCCACCCTTTTCTTTAATCTGTGTTCTCTTCTCTCCCTTAGATGATGGAGTTTCTTCAGTTAATGAGCAAATTTAAGGAGATGGGCTTTGAGCTGAAAGACATTAAGGAAGTTTTGCTATTACACAACAATGACCAGGACAATGCTTTGGAAGACCTCATGGCTCGGGCAGGAGCCAGCTGAGACCAGGCCCTGCCTAGGCCCTGCCGCAGAACCACCATCCCTGGGAGGCCCTGCAGAGCCCACCTGTGGGGAAAGAGAAGGGGCAGCTTCCGGATTTTCTTTTGGGGGTTAGAAGGTCAGGTGTGGAGACTGCTCGCCAGTCTCTGTGAGCCTAGGCCCTGAGCTGGGGAGGTGGGGAAGATTCGGGCATGTGAGTGCCCCCAGAACTGTCCTGGCTCCTTCCGTATTAAACGCATTTGCATTTTGAGAAGTGTCCTTCCCACTTCAGCCCTCCGGAGAGACTACCCTAGTCTTTCTGGGGTGTTTATGTCCTCAGCTGAAGCCTGGCCTAGTTGCTGAGAGGGGCTGGGGAGATGGGGCGGGAGGGCCAGACTCAGTGCTGCTGTGGAGCTAGGTGCTTCCCCCTTCCCCTGAGACTGGTGGACTGAACTCCAGTCAAGTTGAGTTCAAGTGAAAGATTCTTCCAGGGTTTTATTTTTTCCCCTCCTAACAAAGTCTCATAGTGTTAACACTGGTTCTGCAATATCTCTGAGGTGCAAAGAATGCACTTTTCCCTATGGGGCCCAGAGTTTGCCTTTTCTGCCAGGCAGTCACCATGCTTCCCTACCCCAGCCTGTTTCTTTTGGCTTGGTTTGGACCACAGTCCTCTGCTACCCAGGGTTTTAGAGCCCCTGCTCTAGGAAACAGTTTAAGAAATCATTGGCCCCTTCCCAGCACATTGAATGGGTAAGCAGACAGGCCATGATTTAGTTGGCCAGCACTAACTCCACCTCTGTTCTCCTTGAACAGCTTCCCCTCCAGCCCACTGCTTTAGGATGACACAATGAATAACACCTAGTCATAGAAATCAGTCTCTCTGGTTTGTTTTGTATTATGTTGTACATCATTAAAG